>NC_000017.11:5188080-5339595 GCF_000001405.40 Homo sapiens
TTGGGTGCCCATATTATCAAATCCCTGACCTTTATTATTGGAGAGAATTGGCTTTGTCATAATTTTCCCTTGAAGTGTTTAGTGTTTTTTTTTTTTTTTGGTTCGATATACATATATATATAGAGAGAGAGAGTTCAAAATTCAGGAGCAGATTACTATTTAAAAGATAGTAGATTAAAGGCTGCCCTTTTTTTTTTTTTTTCACAAAAAACTTGTGATCTGAAGGGCTTTTATTGTGTCATACTGAAGTCTTGAAAGCCAGAAGCTGAAGGAAGGTATGCCTCTAGATTTGATGAGGCGTTTGTGGCAGCAAATCTGTATGAAGGCTTTCAAGTGCCTGGGCTCAATTTCCTCTGTTTGTTCCCATAGTACTTTTTAATAAAGAGCCTGCTTCATTCATTATTGAGTAGTAATTGTTAAGATAAATTTGTGGGATGTATGCTTAAAATAAAAAAATACACATTTTCAGGGAAGAATAAAGGAAAGAAAGGAACATCAGCAACAGAAACATACATCCATGAAGAATACAAAGAAATTAATAGGAAACATTCAGCAGAGAATTCTCCATTATCTCAAAGAAATTTCAGACAAAATAACTCTTTAAATAAAAGCCTAAAGAAGAGATATAAGGGTTTAAAACAGATTACACATTTACATTTAAAATTTTGACTTTTTTTTTTTTTTTGAGATGGAGTCTTGCTCTGTTACCCAGGCTGGAGTGCAATGGCGCGATCTCGGCTCACTGCAAGCTCCGCCTCCCGGGTTCACGCCATTCTCCTGCCTCAGCCTCCCGAGTAGCTGGGACTACAGGCGCCCACCAGTACGCCCAGCTAATTTTTTGTACTTTTAGTAGAGACGGGGTTTCACCACATTAGCCAGGATGGTCTCGATCTCCTGACCTCGTGATCTGCCCGCCTTGGCCTCCCAAAGTGCTGGGATTACAGGGGTGAGCCACCACGCCCAGCCAAAAATTTGACATTTTTAATTTAAAAAAAAATATTGAGTCATGTAGCCAAAAAAAAAAAGAAAAGAGAAAGGAAAAAATAATAGCAATGGGGCCTCAGTATACTGCCCAGGCTGGTCTTGAACTCCTGGCTTCAAGTGATCCTCCCACCTTGGCCTCCCAAAGTGCTGGGGTTATAGGTGTGAGCCACTGTGCCAGGCCATTTTTTTTTCACTTTTTTTTTTGGAGACAGGGTCTCTGTCACCCAGGCTGGAGTGCAGTGGTGTAATCATGGTTCACTGCAGCCTTGACCTCCCAGGCTGAGATGATTCTCCCACCTCAGCCTCCCAAGTAGCTGGGATTACAGGCATGCTGCAGCACACATGGCTAAGTTTTTGTAGAGATGGGGCTTGCCGTGTTGTCCAGGGTGTTCTGGAACTCCTGGCCTCAAGGGATCTTCCTGCCTCAGCCTCCCAAAGTGCTAGCATTACAGGCGTGAGCCACTGTGCCCAGCTTGTTTTGTTTTTTTCATACATGCTCTCATTCTGTCACCCAGGCTGGAGTGCAGTGGTGCAATCATAGCTCACTGCAACCTCAAACTCCTGGGCTCAAGCAATCCTCCCACTTCAGCCTGACACCATAGGCACACCACCATACCCAGCTAGTTTAAATAATTTTTTTGTAGAGAAAAGGTCTTGCTATGTTGCCCAGGCAGGTCTCAAACTCCTGGCCTCAAGGGATTCTTCAGCCTCCCAAAGTGCTGAGATTACAGACATGAGCCACCATGCCTGGCCAAAAACAAATTAGATTAGAAAACAATAAAAAGTAGTGAGAAGTGATTTGACAATGCTGAGGAAAGAAATGGAAGGGCAAATAAAAAGCATTATGTAGATGAAATTCACATAAGGAACAACAAAAATAATCACTACAAGGTCACAATGAGGCCTGGAGAAATAATAAAAAATGAAATGAATACAAATGTGATTACAGAGAAAACCAGTAACTAAAGAAAGATAATCAAATACATATAATTAGTGTTCCTAAAGAAAAGAGCAAACACAGGCCGGGCGCAGTGGCTCACACCTGTAATTCCAGCACTTTGGGAGGCTGAGGCAGGCAGAGTACCAGAGGTTGGGAGTTCGAGACCAGCCTGACCAACATGGAGAGAAATCCTGTGTCTACTAAAAATACAAAATTAGCTGGGCGTGGTGGCACATGCCTGTAGTCCCAGCTACTCGGAAGGCTGAGGCAGGAGAATCGCTTGAACCTGGGAGGCGGAGGTTGCAGTGAGCCGAGATCGCACCACTGCACTCTAGTCTGTTGACAGAGCGAGACTCTGTCTTAAGAAAAAAAAGGAAGTTGGCCATTAATTCAAATAAAAACAAACAGCATGAGCCAAGAAAATGTGTCTACACTCAAAGCTGGCCTAGGGGCCACTATTTTTTAACTTAAGAAATGCCACTATTTCATGCCCAGTTCTTAGTATCTTTTAACTATGTCAATCCTTTTTAATTCACATTCATGGGCACGCATTAGGTGAAGCTAAACAAAGAATCTATGCCTAGAGGAAGACTCACACATGAAACAAGGTAGTAAGAGCCTATGAATTAGATGCTAAAAGCGCTGCGGTGGCAATCCGGGAAGGCTTCCCAAAAGAAATGACTTTTGAAGTGTGATACCCTACTTTGTTTTAACCTGAGTGACTCTCTCCTAGCAGAGAGAGAGCCGGACAGACTCCATTTTAGTTTCTCCACTGGCAGCCCCCTTTCACCTCCCTCCCTTAAGGCATAGCTAGTGTAAACTGACTCAAAGCACGTCCAGGAATGCACCTACTGATAAGATATTGAGGCAAGCTGCACCAGCAGCTCCTGGGGACGCGCTCGGTGGATGGCAAGCAAAACCCCTGCATTTATCTCTTTGTGATAGTTTAAGCCCGTGCAATTGGAACTGTTTATATTTTGTAACTGCATTTGTAACCAATTAATTTTTCAACTTTTTGCCAGTTCTGCTTCTGTAAAAATTGCTTCAGCTAAAATCCCCCCTCCCCTATTTAGACCACGGTATAAAAACAAAACTAGCCCCTTCCTCAGGGCCGAGAAAATTTTGGGCGCTAGCTGCCTCTCGGTTGCCGGCTAATAAGGACTCTTTAATTTGTCTCAAAGTGTGGCGTTTCTCTGTAACTCGCTTGGTCACAATAGAAGCTGCTCCTAAAAGCAATGTAGACCCTTACAAAGAGACCAGCCCACCTAAATCCCTCCCTTGTTTGAACTCTAACAGTCCTAATATTTTAGACTGAGTAGTAGAACATATATGAACAATACAGTTCATTCCTGTGGCTTAGTCTAGCCTCCCCAGCGGGGTCACTCGTGGGATGCAAAAACCAGATTTGGTTACATATACAAATATACCTGGCACAGATGTGGGCGAGGAATAATCAATTTATGCCTGACGGTGGATTCTGGGCCTCGGGAAGATGCCGTTAGCGGTACCCACAGGAGGGAACTGGAACAGGCAAGAGTAGCGGGACAGGGCCGGGAATGGGGCACGCCGAGACCAAGAAGCCGACCGAGAGCAAGAAGGCCCAGTCATGCGCACCCGGCGCCTACATCCTCCTGCGGTCCCCCAGGCCTCTCCCCATAGGCATATGAGCTCTGCTCCACTCCTCGCTTGCCGGTGGACGCAGGCGCCGCGGCCGCCAGCTCTGTGAACGCAGCGGGGTCTCACCTCCAGGCTACCCCCAACCTCCCGCTCGGTCGGGGGCCCCTCCACGGCCGCTATCACTGGGTCGCGGCTCCTAGCGCCACCATCTTGGACCCCGCGCCTGGGCCAGGCGAGAACTTCCGGTGCGCTCCCCGGGACTGCGGTCCCCCAGTCCGCGCCCCGCCCAGCCGTCCCCCGTCGGCTCCAGCCAATCCGCGCGCGCTCCCCTGGCCGTCTCCCACCGGATCAGGTGTCTCCTCTGCGCAGACTCCTCCACGACGCCAGTCGGCGCTGGCGTAGCTCGGCTCAGCCCGGCGGAGTCTGACTTCCGGAGGGCCAGCGGCGCGCTGGCTGGTTACCAAGGTTACCGCCGAGAGGCCGCGTCCTCAGCTGGTCCTAGACATGCGTGGCGTCGGGGCTGTGGCACGGTCGGGTCCGGGGTGAGTGACCCCTTCAAGTAACTACGTTTTTGTTCTGCCCTTTTGTTTTGTTTTTGAGATGGAGTCTCGCTCTTTCGCCCAGGCCGGAGTGCAATGGCGCGATCTCGGCTCACTGCAGCCTCCATCTCCCAGGTTCAAGCGATTCTCCTGCCTCGGCCTCCCCAGTAGTTGGGATTACAGGCGCCCACCACCACGCCCTGCTAATTTTTGTATTTTTAGTAGAGACGGGGTTTCGCCATGTTGGCCAGGCTAGTCTCGAACTCCTGTTCTGCCTGTTCTGTTTTCATCTTTTGTTATTGTTCCCTGCATGCATTTGTGGTCTCATTCATTGATGACTTCTATTTGCAATGCCCGGTCAAAGGCTAGGCGATACAGATCCCAACAAGGACAGCTTAATGTTTAAAAGTGTAAGTTCCGAAGTGAGAAAGTCAGACACTCAGAATCCTTGCCCCACCACTTAGGGGCTATGTGACTTTGAACAAGTTACCTATTAATAGCTTCTTCGCGCCTCCGTTGCTTCATTTGTAAAGTGAGGTAAATAATAGGACCGACCTCACTGACATATGTATGTGAAGTTTGCATGTGGCGAAGGCCAGATACATATTAGTTATTACTATGGAGATGATGTTGGTTCGCGTAGCGTAGGATCGTGGTAAGGGTTATATATGTATGTAAAGATGTAAGATGTCCAACCCCAAGCCTTTCCGAAGCAAAACTGTCAGTGCACTAGTCACTTTGGCTTCTCATATCTCTCTGTCCCAAACTTTGGGTTGCACGAATTATGCACGTTTCACTCTTGAATTTGTAAATGCAGCTACTACCAACTATTCCTTAATTTGCACAACTACATTTGAGATAGTATTTCATTGACTGTGTTACATTTTCATTGAAATACTGAGCCATGTCTCAAATAGACTTCAATTATAGTTGCTTTTATAGTTCCTTTTGCTTTACCTCTCTTAATAAGAGTGCACTAATAGAAGTTACTCTTTGGAATTTAGAAATGGGTTTTTAAGGCAGGGCACGGTGGCTCACACCTGTAATCCCAGCACTTTGGGAGGCCTAGGAGGCCGCATCACTTGAGCTCAGGAGTTCAAGACCAGCCTGGCCAGCATGGTGAAACCCCCGTCTCTACTAAAAATGCAAAACAATTAACTGGCATGATGGCAGGCGCCTGTAGTTCCAGCTACTCGGGAGGCTGAGGCAGGAAAATAGCTTGAACCCGGGAGGTGGAGGTTGCAGTGAGCCGAGATGGAACCACTTCACTCCAGCCTGGGCAACAGAGCAAGACACTGTCTCAAAAAAATAAAAAAAAAAATAGACTGTTCCGTGTCCTCTGCTCCTAGAGGCCCAGCCTCTGTGGCCCTGTGACCTGCAAGTATTGAGAGATCCACAGCTAAGACACCGGGATCCTCTGGGAGGCAAAAATGAGTTAGAACTCATAAGTGGGAGTTGAACAATGAGAACACATGGATAGAGGGTGGGGAACATCACATACCAGGGCTGGTGGGGGGTGGGGGGCTGGGGGAGGGATAGCATTAGGAGAAATACCTAATGTAAATGACGAGTTGATGGGTGCAGCAAACCAACATGGCACATGTATACCTATGTAACAAACCTGCACGTTGTGCACATGTACCCTATAACTTAAAGTATAACAAATAAATAAAATAAAATAAATGGGTTTAAAAAAAATCGTACAGGCTGGGCGAGGTGGTTCATGCCTGTAATCCTAGCACTTTGGGAGGCTGAGGCGAGTGGATCACTTGAGGTTAGGAGTTCAAGACCAGCCTGGCCAACATGGTGAAACTCCGTCTGTACTAAAAAATAAAAAAAATAAAAAAAAATTAGCCGCGCATGGCAGCATGAGCCTGTAGTCCCAGCTACTAGGGAGGCTGAGGCGGGAGAGTGGCGTGAACCCAGGAGGCAGAGCTTAAGTAAGCCAAGATTTTGCCACTGCACTCCAGCCTGGGCGATAGAGCAAGACTCCGTCTCAAAAAAAAAATAAAATTATCTGGATGTCGTGGTGCGTGCTTGTAGTCTCAGCCACCTGGGAGTCTGAGGCAGGAGAATCGCTTGAATTGGAGAAGCGGAGGTTGCAGTGAGCCAAGATCGCGCCACTGCACTCCACCCTGGGTGACAGAGCGAGACTCTTCTCAAAAAAAAAGAAAAGAAAAAAGAAAAAAGAAGTGGTGTAGATCGTGAAAGTATTAAAAGGGAAAATATTTGTAACATGCATGATAGGAAAAGGGATAACATGCATGACATAAAAGAGCTCCACATGACTTCAGGTTCCCTGAGAGTGCCTTGGGTTTTCCTCAACATTCACTGTATCACCAGTGCCCGGCACAGAGCCAGCACTCCATACATATTTGTAGAATGAATAAATTACATAATGAATCCATGCTGCTGTCAGGGGTAGCATGTGAACTCTAAAGGAGATCAAAAAGAAGAGCTATTCTTTTTAAGACTAAAAAGCCAAAATAACCACTTTTGGCAAGACTTATATATTTCTCAATAAAAAAATGCAGCTGCTGTCTTCCCCACACCCACTGCCTCCCATTTTCATTTTTCTGGCTTATGCAGATCTCAGTTCTTAAAATAAATTTTTTTAAACTTTATTTTGTTATTTTAAAAGTAGTATAAGAATTACAAGAAAACATTCGTACACATGTAAAATGGTTCTGACGACAACTAACCCTGACAGATTTTTTTTTTTTTTTTTTTTAAGAGACAAGGTCTCACTCTGTCAGTGGCATGATCATAGCTCACTGCAGCCTCATCCTCCTGGGCTCAAGTGATCCTCCAGCCTTCTGAGTGGCTGGGACTACAGGTACTGCCACCATGCCTGGCTAATTTTGTTTTTAGTTTTTTGTAGATATGGGGTCTGCCTAGATCGACCAGGCTGTTCTGGAACTCCTGGCTTCAAGCAATCCTGTCACCTTAGACTCCCAGAGTGCTGGGATTACAAGCATGAGCCAAACCTGCCACCACTCCTGGCCTACCAGATTTCTTTTCTTTTCTTTTCTTTTTAACTGAGATGGGAGGCTCCACTCTGTGGCCCACGCTGGAGTATGGCGGTGCAATCACAGGTCAGTGCAGCTTCAAACTCCCAGGCTGAAACAATCCTCCCACCTCAGCATCCCAAGTAGCTGAGACCACAGGTGCACACCACAACACCCAGAAAATGTTTGTACTTTTGGAGAAACTGAGTCTCACTATGTTGCCCAGGCTAGTCTTGAACTCCTGGGCTCAAGCAATCCTCCCATCTCAGCCTCCCAAACCCAAACTGCTGGGATTTCAGGCGTGAGCCACCGTGCCCGGTCTTGGAGCTTATTTTATTTTATTTTATTTTATTTTATTTGAGACAGAGTCTTGCTCTGTCACCAGGCTGGAGTGCAGTGGTGTGATCTCAGCTCACTGCAACCTCTGCCTCCTGGGTTCAAGCGATTCTCCTGCCTCAGCCTCCTGAGTAGCTGGGACTACAGGCGCGCACCACCACACCTGGCTAATTTTTGTATTTTTAGTAGAGACGGGGTTTCACCATGTTGGCCAGGATGGTCTCGATCTCTTGACCTCACGGTCTGCCTGCCTCAACCTCCCAAAGTGCTGGGATTACAGGCATGAGCCACTGAGCCTGGCCCTCTTTACTGTCTTATGCGGTCACTCAACACAATACTTCTGACACCAGATGGGTGGGGGCTTTCTCCACATACTGAGCAATTCTCTAGCAGACACCAGATAGCTGTCCTCTAATTCAATTCAATCTGACACTATCTACCTGGAGATAGTGTTAGATCCCGCAGTCCCACAAGACTACTGCCCACTTCAGATGCCAATTGTAAACTCTTGGCTGTGACCTGTATTTCTGACAAACTGGCTCTAAAGTGAGGTTCCCACAAATCCCTCCTAGGGTTTGCCAGGACAGCTCACAGAACTCAGGGAAACACCTTACTTATATTTACCCATTTATGATAAAGGATATTACAAAGGATATAGGTTAATAACCAGATGGAAGAGATGCATAGGGCAAGGTATGCAGAAAGGTGTGTGGCACTTCCATGCCCTCTCTGAGTGCCATCCTCCAGGAACCATCCACCATCCTCCATGTGATCAGCTATCTGGAAGCTCCTAGAACTCTATCCTTTGGGGTTTTTATGAAGGCTTCATTACATAGGCATGATTGATTAAATCATTGGCCATTGGTGATGAACTCAACCTTCAGCCCCTCTCCCTCCCCTCCCTTGGAGATCCTGCCTTGATCTTTTTGGCAACTAGCCCCCGTCCTGAAGTTATCTAGGGGCTCCCAGCCATCAGCCATCTCAGCAGCATACAAAAGACAGTTTTTGTCTGTTTGTTTTTGTAGTTTTGAGATGGAGTCTCACTCTTGTTGCCCAGGCTAGAGTACAATGGCACGATCTCGGCTCACCGCAACCTCCGCCTCCCGGGTTCAAGCGAGTCTCCTGCCTCAGCCTTCTAGAGTAGCTGGAATTACAGGCATGCGCCAGCACACCCGACTAATTTTGTATTTTAAGTAGAGGCAGGGTATCTCCTTGTTGGTCAGGCTGGTCTCGAACTCCCAACCTCAGGTGATCCTCCTGCCTCAGCCTCCCAAAGTGCTGGGATTACAGGCATAAGCCACTGTGCCTGGCCATTTGTTTGTTTTTGCTTTGAGATGGAGTCTTGCTCTGTTGCCCAGGCTGGAGTGCAGTGGCACAATCTCGGCTCACTGCAACCTCTGCTTCCTGGATTCAAGCGATTCGCCTGCTTCAGCCTCCAGAGTAGCTGCAACTACAGGCGCGCGCCAACATGCCCAACTAATTTTTGTATTTTTAGTAGAGACGAGGTTTCGCCATGTTGGCCAGGCTGGTCTCAAACTCCTGACCTCAGGTGATCCACCCAGGTCGGCCTCCTCAAGTGCCGTAATTACAGGCCTGAGCCACCGCGCCAGGGCCCCATGTGTGAACTTCTTAATACACCACTAGGTGGCAGTGATTTGCAGCCCGTGGTTGTATTAAACAGACTTTTTTTTTTTTTTTTTTTTTTTTTTGAGACGAAGTCTTGCTCTTGTTGCCCAGGTTGGATGGAGTGCAATGGCCTGATCTTGGATCACCACAACCTCTGCCTACCAGCTTCAAGCAATTCTCCTGCCTCAGCATCCCACATTGCTGGGATTACAGGCATGTGCCATGATGCCCGGCTAATTTTTGTATTTTTAGTAGAGACGGGGTTTCTCCATGTTGGTCAGGCTGGTCTCGAACTCCCAACCTCAGGTGATCCACCCACCTCGGCCTCCCAAAGTGCTGAGATTACAGGCGTGAGCCACCACGCCCTGCCTAAAGAGACATCTTAAATACGCCTTTATTTTTAGACAATAGAAAAATAAGCTTCCCATTATGCAAGAGTCCTATGGCCTTTGTGCTTTCCTACCCTGTGAACTAAGAGTCTAAATCTGTGAAAAGATGTCCATGAGGTAGAGTTGAATTAAAATAGCAGGTTGCAGAACAATATTTGTACCTCCTCACTTTCTTCTTTTCTGCCTCTCTCCCTTCCTTCTCTACTTCCACAAAAGTTGACTGAGCACCTATTGTGTGCTAATATATGCTAAGTTACTGGAAATGCAATGGTGAGCAAAGCAACACCAGTGTAGTCCCTGTGGATCTTATAGTCCCTCATTGATGGACAGATAGGTTGGTTCCACCTTCTCATTATAACAAATAATACTACAAAGAACGTTTTATACATACACTTGAGTTTCTCTAGGGCAGTGGTTCTCAAAGAGTGGTCTGGGCCATGAGACCAAAACAATTTTCATAATAATATTAAGATGTTATTTGGCCTTTTTCATGCTCACTCTTCTCACGAATGTTCAATGGACCTTTCCATGAGGCTACATGACATACGACATTGCAACAAATTGATGGCAGAAGCAGATAGGAGAATTCAGATGTTTTCTATTAAGCCAGATATGAGATTTGAAAAAAAAAATGTAACATACACAGTGACACTTTTCTCACTAATTTTTTTGTTTGGGAAAATATAGTTATTTTATTATTTTTTGGAGAGAGGGTCTCACTCTGTTGCCCAGGCTGGAGTGCAGTGGCACCATAGCTCACTGCAGCCTCAAACTCGTGGGCTCAAGTGATCCTCCCGCCTCTGCCTCCCAAGTAGCTGGGACTACAGGTGCTCACCACTATGCCTGGCTAACGTTTTTATTTTTAGTTTTTGTAGAGATTGAGTCTTGCTATGTTGCCCAGGCTGGCCTCTAACTCCTGGGCTCAAGCAGTCCACCCACCTCAACCTCCTAAGTAGGTGGATCTACAAGCTCTCACCACTGAGCCTGGCTCCCTCCATCATTTTTAAGTGCAATGGAGACCTGGTACCAAGTGGTTTGAGACTCACTGTTCTAGGGCAAGGGTCCCCATTGCCCGGGCCTGGACCAGTACAGTCTGTGGCCTGTTAGGAACCAGGCTGCACAGCAGGAAGTAAGTGGAGGGCAAGCGAGCATTACTTCCTGAGCTCTGCCTCCTGTTAGATCAGGGGCGGTATTACATTCTCATAGGAGCACGAACCTTATTGTGAACTGCACACATGAGGACTCTGGGTTGCACGCCTTTTACGAGAATGTAATGGCTGATGATCTGAAGTGGAGCAGTTTCATACCAAAACCATTCCCCCCTTTCCTCCCAACCCGTCCCTAGTGCCAAAAAGGTTGGGGACTGCTGTTCTATGGTATCTATCCCGAAGTGGAGTTGCTGTGTTTTACAGTGTCCACAATTTCAGTTTTACTAGGTGTTGCCAAATTGCTCTCCAAAGTGGCTGAAGCTAATTTATTATTTTTTTTAAATTTATTTTGAGATGGTGTCTTGCTCTGTTGCCAGGCTGGAGTGCAGTGTCGCGATCTTGGCTCACTGCAACCTCCGCCTCCTGGATTCAAGTGATTCCCCTGCCTCAGCTTCCCGAGAAGCTGGGATTATAGGCGCGCACTCCCACGCCCAGCTAATTTTTTGTATTTTAGTAGAGACAGGGTTTCACCATGTTGGCCAGGCTGGTTTCAAACTCCTGACCTCGTGATCCACCCACCTCAACCTCCCAAAGTGCTGGGATTATAGGTGTGAGCCACTGCGCCTGGCCTTTTTTTTTTTTTTTTTTTTTTTTTTTTTCTTAAGAAGGAGTCTCAGTCCATCTCCCAGGCTGGAGTGCAGTGGTGCAATCTTGGCTCACTGCACCTTCCACCTGCCAGGTTCAAGCAATTCTCCTGTCTCAGCCTCCTGAGTAGCTGGGATTATAGGCACGCACCACCACACCTGACTATTTTTTTTATATATTTAGTAGAGATGGGGTTTCATCATGTTGGCCAGGCTGGTCTCAAACTCCTGACCTCAAGCCATCCGGCCTCTCAAAGTGCTGGGATTACAGGCGTGAACCACCTCAACTGGTCAAAAGCTAATCTTAAAAAACAAAAAACAAACAAAAAAAACCCCAAAAATACCAGGCCGGGTACGGTGGCTCACGCCTGTAATCCCAGCACTTTGGGAGGCCTCAGTGGGTGGATCACAAGGTCAGGAGTTCAAGACCAGACTAACCAATATGGTGAAACCCCATCTCTACTAAAAATACAAAAATTAGCTGGGCATGGTGGTGCACGCCTGTAGTCCCAGCTACTCAGGAGGCTGAGGCAGGAGACTCACTTGAACCCAGGAGGCAGAGGTTGCAGTGAGCCAAGATCGCGCCACTGCACTCCAGCCTGAGCGACAGAGCAAGACTCTGTCTCAAAAAAAAAAAAAGAAAGAAAAAAACCAACCAAACAAACAAACAAAAAAACTGGCTGAGGAGGACAAATCACTTGAGCCCAGGAATTTGAGGCCAGCCTGGGCAACATGGCAAAACCCCATCTCTACAGAAAATAATTTTAAAAGTTAGTTAGAAGCCTTTACTAACTTAGGGGAAAAAAAAATTAGCCAGGCATGGTGGTGCATGCCTGTGGTCCCAGTTACTTGGGAAGCTGAGGTGGGAGGATGGCTTCAGCCTGGGAGGCAGAGGTTGCAGTTAGCTGAGATTGTGCCGCTGCACTCCAGCCTGGGTGACAGAGTAAGACCTTGTCTCAAAAAAAAAAAAAAAAAAGTACATATCCTTGATGTTTTTGTCGTTGTTTTTCCCAAATCTCAAATTGTAAAGAATTGTGAAATTATTAGACTAGTAAAAGAAAAAAAAATAAAGTAGACTAGTGATACAATACAACAGTGAGTTGCTGTATGAAATGTTCATTTTCTTTTCTAAACAATACTGTGAAAAGCAGGGTCACATTTATCTTAAATGTTCTCAGAGGAAGTTTTTCTTGGTCACTGAGAATGGCTTTGTACAGTATCAACATTACATGTATCGGAAAATTTATTTTTGTTTGGGGGCTCATTGGGGATAAAAGTGTACAAGTTATGCAAATAAACCTTTTTTAACATCAGGGGAATTTCGTTATTCTTAAATACTACCTTCTGCAATTTTTGTTAAAACCATGTTCCACTAACACCTAATTTGTAAAAAAAAAAAAAAAAATACAGAGGGATCTAGTGTTAAAACAACTTAAAGGCTGTTAGTTTATAGTTCACTTTGTAAATGAGAGTTTATTTTTACCAGTTTAGGGCTTTTTAAAATTATTCATAGAATATTTAATTGTTCAAGTGTAGCTGATCTAAAACTTTAATGGCATTAAATTTTGGCAATGGAATATGTTGATCAGGCTGGGCGCAGTGGCTCATGCCTGTAATCCTAACACTTTGTGAGGCCGAGACAGGTGGATCACCTGAGGTCAGGAGTTCGAGACCAGCCTGACCAATATGGCGAAACCCGATCTCTACTAAAAATACAAAAATTAGCCGGACGTGGTGGTGGGAGCCTATAATCCCAGCTAGAAAAAAAGAAATACGTTGGTCAATATGAGAGGTTGAGTTTTACAGTTGAAGGGGAAGGGTGCAGCGATATTAATTGGCTGTTTCTGACAGTAGTTTGGCACATAGTTGTATGTACACTCTGCTCCAGTAAAATGAAATGCGACCACAGTCAACGGTTACCTATTTATGCTGGAGGGTGTTTGGCAATCAACTGTTAATTTAAGTGAGATTCCATTCTGCCGCTTAGCCATGGCAGAGCACACACATGTGCACTCAGGGAAAGCAGATGGAATAGGTTATAAACAGAAGCAAACTCCAATTCAGGAGACATGTTCACGCAGAAATAGTACTATGATGCAACATACATCACAAAAACAAATGGAAATTGTGTTTGTTTGTTTTTGAGATACAGTCTTGCTCTTTCGCCAGGCCAGAGTGCAGTGGCACAATCTCAGCTCACTGCAACATCCATCTCCCAGGTTCAAGCGATTCTCCTGCCTCAGCCTCCCGAGTAGCTGGGACTACAGGTGCGCACAACCACGCCAGCTAATTTTTGTATTTTTAGTAGAGACGGGGTTTCATCATCTTGGCCAGGATGGTTTCGATCTCCTGACCTTATGATCCGCCTCAGCCTCCCAAAGTACTGGGATTACAGGCGTGAGCCATGGCGCCCGGCAAGAAATTTTTTTTTAAATCTGTCTTTAGGGGATTATCTAGCTATTAGTGGGGTTAAATGAGGGAACTGTCGCCTCGGCAGAAGAGATGGTCCACTGTATTCATTTGTCATAATAACCAGACTCCTGGAGTTACTGGGTTCTAAAGTTGTTGATACAGCATGAATAGGTTTGGATGTGGAGTTCTGTATGGAGGATCCTTTCAACGGGAAGATAAACCAAAATTGTTGGTCGTAGCCTTTTGGACTACTGACTTAAGAGATTATTTGAATCTCTTTAAAGAGTCAAAATTGGCTGGGCGCGGTGGCTCATGCCTGTAATCTCAGCACTTTGGGAGGCCAGGGCAGGTGGATTGCTTGAGGTCAGGAGCTCAAGACCAGGCTGGCCAACATAGTGAAACCCCATCTCTACTAAAATACAACGATTAGCCAGGTGTGGTGGTGGGCACCTGTAATCCCAGCTACTTGGGAGGCTGAGGCAAGATAATCGCTTGAACCTGGGAGGCGGAGGTTGCAGTGAGCTGAGATCGAGCCACTACACTCTCAGCCTGGGTGACAGAATGAGGCTCTGTCTCACACACAAAATAAGCCTGTATTGTTGTAAATAGATTGTGAAGGGTGATTCTGGTGAGGGCTCAGAAGAAGAGGAGAGCTACAGAGAAAGCCTCAGTTTTCTTAGAGATTACCTAAGAGGTTGTACCAGAAGGCTAGTAGAAGTATGGATGTTAAAGGCCATTCTGATGAGGTCTCAGATGGAAATGAAGAACATGTTATTGGAAACTGGCAGAAAAATGATCCTGATTATCTGGCAAAGAATGTGGCTGAATTGTATGTCCTAGTGTTTTATGGAAGGTAGAAATTCTGAGTGATGAAATAGGATATTCGGTGGAAAAAATATCTGAGTAAAGTGTTGAGAGTGCGGCAAAGCTTCTCTTGAATGCCTGTAGTAAAATGCTAGCAGAGAGAAACCAATTAAAGATGGTCTTTCTTTCTCTTTCTCTCTCTCTCTCTCTTTCTCTCTCTCTCTCTCTTTCTTTCTGAGACAGAGTTTTGCTCTTTTTGCCCAGGCTGGAGTGCAGTGGCGCGATCTTGGCTCACTGCAACCTCCACCTCCTGGGTTCAAGTGATTCTCCTGCCTCAGCCTCCTGAGTAGCTGGGATTACAGGTTTGTGCCACGACGCCTGGCTAATTCTGTATTTTTAGTAGAGACGGGGTTTCACCATGTTAGCCAGGCTGGTCTCGAACTTCTAACCTCAGGCGATGTGCCCTTCTCAGCCTCCCAAAATGCTGGGATGACAGGCATGAGCCACCGCCCCCGGCCAAAGATGTTATTTATGATTTAAAAAGCAGCAGAATTTAAATATTTAGAAATTTACCAACCTGCCCATGTTGTAAAGAATGAAAAAGCTTGTTGAAGAGAAAACACCAAGAATGTGACCAAGGAAACTTTTGATAAGGAGGTTAGTGTGGGGAGATGGAAGCCAGATGCTCAGCATCACAGCGAAGAAGGACCCTGAAACCATTCCGAAGATCTTTAGAGGCTGCCCTGCCCATCACAGGCCCAGAAAACTAGGACCTTGAAGTCAAAGCGATTTCAAGGCTCTGCTCCCTGCATTCTGGTGCAGGGCTCCTGGCATACCCTAGCTGTGACTCAAGTGGGCCCAGCTGTGACTCAGGCCATCCCTCTGGGAGGCATAGACAGTAAAGCATGGTGGTGTCCAAGCAGTTTTATCTCCACAGCTGCGCAAAGTGCATGGGCTGTGAGGGCATTGCTACCTCTACCTAGATTTCAAAGGATTCCTGGGGGAATCTTGAGGCCCAGACGGAGCACCGCCAAAGGGGCAGGGCCACTGCGGAGAGCCCCCACTAGGGCAATGCCCAGCACAGCCATGGGGACGGGGGTGCCTCCAAGACCCCAGAATGTTAGGGCCACCAGCGTGCAACTCCAGCCTGGGAAAGCTGCAGGTCCGAGACTCCAACTCATGAAAGCTGCAGAGTGGGCTGTGCCCAGCAAAGCCATGGGGGGGCCGCCCCGAGTCTTGGAGGCCCAACCCCCATCCCAATATCTGGGGGGTAGGACGTCAAGTCAAACATTATTCTCAAACCTTAAGACTTAATGTTGTTTGCCATGTTGAGTTTCGGACTTACTTGGGACCCATCACCCCTTTCTTCTTTCCTATTTCTCCCTTTTGGAATGGAAATTTCTATCCTATGTCAGTCCCACCATTGTATTTTGGAAGCATACTTACATTGTATAAGTAGTTTGATTTCACAGGCTCATAATTGGAGAGCAATTTGCCTCAGGATGAATCATATCTTGACTTTTGCCCAGACTTGGAATGAGTCAACATTTAGTTGAGATGTTGACTTAGACTTTAAAGCTGTTATTGGAATGAGTTAAGACTTTTAGGGCTATTGGGATGGAATAAATCTATTTTGCATTTGAGAAGGACATGGATTTTGTGAGGTCATGGGCAGAATGCTATGGTCTATGTTTGTGTCCCCACAGAATTCGTATGTTGAAATCTAACCCCCAAGATGATGGTATTAAGAAGCAGGGTGTTTGGGGTGATTAGATCATGAGGGCCCTGCCCTCATGAATGGGATGAATGCCCTTATGAAAGAGGACCCAGGCTGGGTGCGGTGGCTCATACCTGTAATCCCAGCATTTAGGGAGGCTGAGACAAGAGGATTATTTGAGTCCAGGAGTTCAAGACCAGCCTGGGCAACATAGTGAGACTCCATCTTTACCAAAAAAAAGGAAGAAAGAAAGAAAAAAAATAGGCCGGGCGCGGTGACTCATGCCTGTAATCCCAGCATTTTGGGAGGCCGAGGCAGGTGGATCATGAGGTCAGGAGATCAGGACCATCCTGGCTAACATGGTGAAACCCTGTCTCTACTAAAAAAATGCAAAAAAATTATCCAGTTGTGGTGGCAGGTGCCTGTAGTCCCAGCTACTTGGGCGGCTGAAGCAGGAGAATGGTGTGAACCCAGGAGGTGGAGCTTGCAGTGAGCTGAGATCATGCCACTGCACTCCAGACTGGGCGACAGAGCAAGACTCCGTCTCAAAAAAAAAAAAAAAAAAACAGCCAGGTGTGGTGGCATGTGCCTGTAGTTCCAGCTACTCAGGAGGCTGAGGTGAGAGGATCACCTGAACCCAGGAGTTTGAGGCTGCAGTGAGCTATGATTGTGCTGCTGCACTCCAGCCTGGGTGACAAAGTAAGACTCTGTCTCAAAAAATAAAATAATATAAAAGAGGCCCCAGAAAGCTGTCTTCCCCTTCTATCATGTGAAGACACGGTGAGAAGGTGTGAAGCACAGAGTGAGCCCTCACCAAACACCAAATCTGCTGGCGCCTTGATCTTGGACTCCCCAGCCTCCAGAACTCTCAGCAACATTTCTGTTTTTAACAAATTATCCAGTCTAAGGAATTTTGTTATAGTAGACCAAATGGACTAAAACCCTGGGTATGTGGACCACTCCAGGCCAATGAGACATTAGGGAAAGTTGCTGGGGGCTCACCTCCCTAATAAAACGATACAGCCAGGCGCGGTGGCTCACATCTGTAATCCCAGCATGTTGGTAGGCTGAGGCAGGTGGATCATGAGGTCAAGAGATCAAGATCATCCTGGCCAACATGGTGAAACCCTGTCTCTACTAAAAATACAAAAATTAGCTGGGTGTGGTGGTCCCAGCTACTCAGGAGGCTTAGGCAGGAGAATCGCTTGAACCCAGGAGGCAGAGGTTGCAGTGAGCCAAGGTCGCACCACTGCACTCCAGCCTGGTGACAGAATGAGACTCCATCTCAAAAAAAAAAAAAAAAAAGATACATGTTAGTAATGCACATTTTCTTTCTAACTTTGAATGTTATCATGTACAGATGCTTGGAGCTGTGGCAGCTATTTTGCCACCATGAGGATAAGGCTAAGCAATTTGAAATTAGTCCACACCCCTAAATTATGGAGCTGCTGAATTCTGGAGTGTTTACCTCTAGACTTCTTGCTTTGTGAAATTATAAACTCCTCATTGTGTAAGTTATCTTTAGTTGGATAGTCTGTTCTTTGCAGCCTAAAGCATCCTATCGAATACACATGATTTGTAAAATTTGTTGTTGGTAATACCAGTGCATTTCCTGAAAACAATCTTGTTTGTATTGCAAAGAAGATCAGATAGTAATTATTATAAGGAAAACTATAATCCACTGATTTGTGGTATGAGTAAAGCATCAGTTCTTTTTTTTTTTTCAAGACAGAGTCACTCTATCGCCCAGGCTGGGGCACAGTGGTGCGATTTCGGCTCACTGCAACCTCCACCTTCCAGCTTCAAGTGATTCTCCTGTCTCAGCTTCCTGAGTAGCTGGGATTACAGGCGCCCGCCACCATGCCCAGCTAATTTTAGTATTTTTAGTAGAGATGGGGTTTCACTATGTTGGCCAGGCTAGTCTCAAACTCCTGACCTCAAGTGATCCGCCTGCCTTGGCCTCCTAAAGTGCTGAGATTACAGGCATGAGCCACCGCACCTGGCCAAGCATCAGTTCTTAAAACAGTTAAGGTGGCAGAACAGGAGTTCTTTCAAAATGATGATTTTCAGTATTTGTGGGTATTTCAACATCATCATAGTCATCTTCAGGTTCAATATAGCTCAGGATGGAAACTATCTCCTTATTTCTTTTTTTTTTTTTTTTGAGACAGAGTCTCACTGTTGCCCAGGCTGGAGTGCAATGTCATGATCTTGGCTCATTGCAACTCTGCCTCCCAGATTCAAGCAATTCTCCTGCCTCAGCTTCCCAAGTAGCTGGAATTACAGGTGCCCGCCACCATGCCCGGCTAATTTTTTGTATTGTTAGTAGACACGGGGTTTCACCATCTTGGCCAGGCTGGTCTCGAACTCCTGACCCCCGGTGATCCACCTGCCTCGGCCTCCCAAAGTGCTGGGATTCCAGGCGTGAGTCACTGCGCCCAGCCCTTATTTCTAACTTTATTTATTGATGAGTATGTATTCAATAGGTAACTTGGGGATTCCTGTGGTGCTGGACTATACAAAAAGATCCTATTAAATCTTGATATATTTAAATCTCATCCAAACTGGTAACAATTTCCCTAGTAGAAAACTTGGCTTTATTATACGTTCCCAGTATAAAATCTCAGCCAAATTACACATGTCCAGAGGAAAAAAAATTGTTTTGTCAAACCAATTGGTAGATTTTCCATGAATGTTCAACAGTCAATAAATATTGCCTACCATGTGCCAGGTTTTGTGCTGGACATTGGGAATACAGCACTGAGACAATTTCCATCCCAAAGGAGCCCCCAGATTAGAAAGGAGGATGGAAAGTAACCAGGTAATTATAATTATAATATATAATAATTATAATACAAAGGGAGAAGTATTTCCATAGGGCCAAGTATGGGAGCTGTGAGAGCTCAGAGTTCATTGATTCATTCATTCAACCCAGTTGATTATTCAACATATTTATTGAGCATCTACAATGTACCTGGGCACTGTGCTAGGAACAGGGAAAACAGTAGAGGAAAGAAGGACACATTCCCTGCCCTCATGTTGCTTTGGGTCTAGTGGAGGAGAGAGACAGATAAGCAATAATTATAACATGCTAATGCTATGAAAGGAGAGCATCCAGGAGGCACCAACCCAAGTTGGGTCATGAGGAAAGGGTAGCCAAGATGAAATGGGAAGGATCCAAAGGTGGGGAAGAATGTTTCATACAGAGGAATAGCGCTGTGCACAGGGCAAGAGGGACCATAGTGAAGGTCATTTTATTTTATTATTATTATTTTTTTTTTGAGATGGAGTCTTGCTCTGTCACCCAGGCTAGAGTGCAGTGGTGCAACCTAGGCTCACTGCAACCTCTGCCTCCCAGGTTCAGGTGATTCTCCTGCCTCAGCCTCCCGAGTAGCTGGGATTACAGGCATGTGCCACCACACCCGGCTGCGTTTTGTATTTTTAGTAGAGACGGGGTTTCACCATCTTGGCTAGGCTGGTCTCAAACTCCTGACCTCATGATTCACCCACCTCGGCCTCCCAAAGTGCTGGGATTACAGGTGTGAGCCACTGCGCCCGGCCTGTGAAGGTCATTTTAAGTGGCTGGAGCAAAAAACTTGGGCAGAGTGGAGGTTGCAAGGGGGTTGGGGGAGAAGAGTTTGGCAAAAGATAATCAGTGACCAGATCCTGACAAATCTTGTAAGCCATGTTAAAGAGTTTGGTCTTTTTCTGGGGTTAACGGGCAAAGAGAAGATTTAAGCAAAGGAATGAAGTGGTCAGATGTTCACTTTAGGAAGTCACTGGGTGCCATGTAGAAAGTGGACGGCAGGTGAGGTGCCAGAGGCAGGGGAGCAGTCAGGGGGCTGTTGATATTCTCCTGGCAAGCGCTGGCAATTGTCTGACCTCAGAACAGTGACGGAGAGACGTGGACTCATTGGAGAACCACGTGGGAGGCACAAGTAACATGGGGAGCTCTGGAAACAAAGCAGTGTGGGGAGAAGGATACTAGTTTCTGACTTCAGCAACTAAGAAGATAGTAGAGCACAAGACATTTGGGACTGGAGGTAGGTCATCAGTTCCTTTTGGTGTTTGCTGAACTTGAGGGGGTGTGTGGGGCAGTCACAACGAGATGTCTTAGAGGCAACCCAGCTGGGGAGAAAGAGCTCAGCTGAAGTCAGAATAGAGGGGGCAGCTGGGCGTGGTGGCTCACACTTGTAATCCCAGCACTTTGGGAGGCTGAGGCAAGCGGATCACTTGAGGTCAGGAGTTCAAGACCAGCCTGGCCAGCATGGTGAAACCCCGTCTCTACTAAAAACAAACAGAAAATTAGCCGGGTGCAGGCGTGTTGGCACACACCTGTAATCCCAGCTACTCAGGAGGCTGAGGCAGGAGAATCGCTTGAACTTGGGAGGGGGAGGTTGCAGTGAGCTGAGATTGTGCCACTACACTCCAGCGTGAGTGACAGAATGAGACTCAGTCTCAAAAAAAAAAAAAAGGAGGGGCCCACTGAGCTCATGGACATTGGTGAGATCACTCGTGAGTGTTGGAGGCAGATGGGCAGAGACACAGGGACAGAACCTGAGGAAGACCAGCATTGAAGAGATGCTTCAGAAAGAGTGGGTGGCCCCAAAATGAGACGGAGACAGGAGGAGAACCAGGAGAGGGTGGCGTCCCAGAAACCAAGGAAGAATCAACATTTGTCTGGCATTTGTTTTTAACTTTTGTCATAGTCATGGAGGGTTTACAGAACATTTATAAGACGAAAGCATGTGTTTGAAACACTCCAATCCTTTGGCTTATTTTTGTTCTATAATTTGGGAAGAGTCCTCTCTTTGGCTGGTGGGATACCAGAGTCCCATAAGGCCATAGTTAGATAACTACTGGCCTAACATAAGGAGGGTTTATTTATTTATTTATTTATTTATTTTTAGATGGAGTTTCACTCTTGTTGTCCAGGCTGGAGTGCAATGGCATGTTCTCGGCTCACCGCAACCTCCGCCTCCCAGTTTCAAGCGATTCTTCTGCCTCAGCCTCCCAAGTAGCTGGGATTACAGGCATGCGCGACCATGCCTGACTAATTTTGTATTTTTAGTAGAAATGGGGTTTCTCCATGTTGGTCAGGCTGGTCTCGAACTCCCGACCTCAGGTGATCCGCCCACCTTGGCCTCCCAAGGAGGTATTAATAGCAAGGTGGAAGCCTTCATAGAGTCTGGAAAGAGAGAACCAGGGAGGAAGCCCAGGTCCCCAGTGCTCCAGCGTTGATTGAGGGAGAAAGCTTGAAAATGGGAGGAACACATTTTCCCATCTCTTGAGGGAAATCTGAGTCACTCTCAGGCCTTTCCAGGTTCACAGTGCTCTCTCTGCAAGGCTGTTCATTTGCCAGATTTCCCAGAGGTCACTTAGAAACCAGCATCTTGTGAGTATAGTTAGAATGAGTCAAGTCCTAGGGCTCTGGCGATCAGCTAGAAGGAATTGATGAGGTCTAAGAGCCTATAAAGCTGACTCGGGCCTTGTTGACCCCATTAGGACACTTGTTTAACAAGACATCTGCCCATGTCCCTGGCCCATCTCATTGGCTGCAGCACATCACAGTGGACCTTCTGCCTCCTCCCAGATGCCCAGGGACAGTGATCTGGAAGGAAGGGGCTTGAGGCTGTTTTCCTAGAACTCGAGTAAGTACTGATGAAAATGATGGACAGGGGATATTAAGCCCCCTGAACTCTCATCTTGTATATGCCATTGTTACATGCCCCTTTTCTTTCCTGTTCCCCATGATTTGTCCTGGGGGAAATGTATTTTTCCTGTAGCACCCCCAACACACCTATTGCAAAATGATGCTTCTAGGTGTAAATCAGAAGGTAACTTTTGTCCTTTGTCCATTGTTACAGTACAACTTGCAAGCACGGGGAGAAAACCTAGGTGAAAACTCAAATCTCTATGGTCAATTTGGCCTACATCATATAAAGGCACTGGGGTTTGCAGGGTGTCTAGGTGGGGAGGGTTCACGAGAACAAAAGGTACTCCCTGCCCTTGCAAACTCGCGAGATGTGGTGTGGGAACCTGGGCACGAGAGCACTCAGCTGTAACTCACCCACAGCCTCACAGTGCAGGAGGTGGGTGGGGTGAGAGGGTAAAGACCAGCATGCTTGGTGAGGGCCTTGCTGGGGATGGGAGCCTGGGAGGGTCTGCACAACCAAATGCTGAGATTTAATATCACTCAGAACCATGCAAACCAAAGGGAATGAAGGGGGAAAGAATGCCAAGAAATGAGTAGTTTCCCACAGGTGGGAGCCATGGAGCCCCGTGGTCCTTCCCATGGAAAGTTTCCTCAACAGCACAAGGCTGACCCCTCTAAGTCCTCAGAGCCGAGCACCCATGTGTCTCCTCTGGCTGCAGTCATCCGATCGCAGGGGTGTCTTCATCTAAGGTTTGGGAAGTGCTTTATCTTATAGAGCTTCATAAAATCACCACTGGCTTTCAGGGCCCAGAGACCTACTGAAGTTCAACCATTCTTGATTGTTTTAAAATAAGTTGTGTGAACCCTCTTCAGTTTTGCCAAAAAGAAGAAATGGCTGTTTCAAAATGATGCTTTTTCAGTATTTGCAGGGATTTCAACATCGTCATAGTCATCTTCAGGCTCAATGTAGCTTGGGATGGAAACAGTCTTCTTATTTTTAACTTTATTTACCAGTGAGTATGTAGCGGGCGGCTGACTTGGGGCTTCCTGTGGGGCTAGAATACACAAAAAGCTCCTTAGATGCAAAGCTGTCATGTGTTTTTATATTTTTGAAGGCAGTGGCTCAGCGTGATTTTCACGTTTCAGTGATCTTCCCACTTCTAGTGGGCCAGATCCCCATTTTACAGAGGAAATTTAGACACAGACCTGACAGAGCCTCAGGATCACCCAAGTGAGTAACTGGAAAATATTAGTCAGACATCTTGACTCCCGTATCTTTCTGCCTAAGCCTGCACTGCATGGAAACCATGAAGCAAAAGCTTAGAAAAGAAACAGACCAGGTCAGGTGCAGAAGCTCACACCTGTAGTCCCAGTACTCTGGGAGGCCCAGGTGGGAGGATCACTTGAGCCCAGGAGTTCCAGACCAGCTTGGGCAACACAGGGAGACCCTCGTCCCTACAGAAAAATTTAAAAATTAGCCGGATGTGGTGGTGCATGCCTATAGTCCCAGCTAATTGGGAGGCTGAGGCAAGAGGATTTCCTGAGCCCAGGAGGTTAAGGCTACAACGAGCCATGATCACGCCACTGCACTTCAGCCTGGACAACATGGTAAGACCCTGTCTCCAAAAAAAAAAAAAGAATGGATGAAAAGAAACAGACCAGAGCCCAGTAGTCATATGAGTGCTGTTGTGTTACAGATCCTAATTTTTACAAGGAAGTGAAACAAATCATATTTCCTTTTTGGCACATCCCTTCCAGTGACTTACACTGTTTTCCAGGACTCTCTGTAATTGCTTATGTACAAATCTCTCTAAGAAGAAAGGGGATGGCGTTGTTTTCAAAAGGTGGAATTAGTACAGAACAGGTTCATAGGAGGCTGGGGCGCGGTGGCTTATGCCTGTAATCCCAGCACTTTGGGAGGCTGAAGTGGGCAGATCACCTGAGGTCGGGAGTTCGAGACCAGCCTGATGAAACTCTGTCTCTACAAAAATACAAAAATTAGCTGGGCGTGATGGCGGGTGCCTATAATCCCAGCAACTCGGGAGGTTGAGACAGGAGAATTGCTTGAACCCAGGTGGCAGAGGTTGCAGTGAGCCAAGATTGCACCATTGCACTCTAGCCTGGGCAACAGAGCGAGACTCTGTCTCAAAAAAAAAGAAAGAAAGAAAGAAAAAGAAACAAAAAACAAACAAAAAGAACAGGTCCATAAGTAATAGAAGGATGATGAAACAGCTCAGCTCCATCTTTGATGGGGATTGGAACTGCCTCTCCCACAATCTCATCTTTTCCTAAGAAAACCTGAAATGCCACTATTTGCAGAACTCTGCAGTTTGACAGACCAGAGTTCATGTTCACGTTCCAGCAGTCATTAGCTGTGTGACTATAGGTAAGTCACTTATCTGTGCCTGAGCATCCTCATCTGTCACAGAGGAATAAAAATGTACCTGGCTTGGGCCGGGCGCGGTGGCTCACGCCTGTAATCCCAGCACTTTGGGAGGCTGAGGTGGGTGGATCACGAGGTCAGGAGATCGAGATCATCCTTGCTAACATGGTGAAACCCCATCTCTACTAAAAATACAAAAAATTAGCCAGGCATGGTGGCAGGCACCTGTAGTCCCAGCTACCCAGGAGGCTGAGGCAGGACAATGGCATGAACTCGGGAGGTGGAGCTTGCAGTGAGCCGAGATTGCGCCACTGCACTCCAGCCTGGGCGACAGACCGAGACTCCATCTCAAAAAACAAACAAACAAAAAAATGTACCTGGCTTGTAGAGTTGTGAGGAGTGAATGAGCTAATACCTGTAAAGTGCTTAGTGTGGGACCTGAAACACAGCGCATGCTCAATAAATGTTAGCTAATATTATTTATCTATCCAATCAAAATATTTTTCTTAAGTATCGACTGAGCCTCACGCCCTGTTCTAGGTAGTGGATAAATATTAATAGTGGTGGACAAAAAAGGTTCCTGTGTTCCTGAAGTTTATACTCCAGTGGAGGAGATCAATAATACATAAATGAACAATAAGTAAATAACACAATTTTGGATAACTGTCAGTTTCATAAAGGAAATTAGCAGAACTACTTTAGGTTGAGTGGACAGAGAGGGCCTCTTTGAGGTGGTAACTTCTGAGCTGACATCTGAAGGATGAGGAAAATCCAGCGAGGCAAAGAGCTTAAGGAAGAACATTCCAGTCAAAGGAACCAGGCAGAGTTTTTCTGATAGGAAGTGAAAGGCCTAGTGACACCCCATGTTTCTTTCTGTTTATGTTCCAAGCTGGGATTTGAACATGAATTTACACCCTTATATCAGGCTATTGGGTGCGTCGGTACTTATGCTGCCCCCTTTTTGCTTTTCCATCCCTTTTTTTTTTTTTTTTGAGACAGGGTCTCACTCTGTCGTCCAGGTGCAGTGATGCTATCGTGGCTCACTGCAGACCTCCCAGGCTCAAGCGATCCCCCCACCTCAGCCTTCCAAGTAGCTGGGACTATAAGTGTGCACCATCACGCTGGCTAATTTTTGTAAAGATAGGATTTTGCCATGTTGCCCAGGCTGTTCTCAGACTCCTGAGCTCAAGTCATCAGCCCGCCCTGGCCTTCCAAAGTGTTGGTATTACAAGCATATGCCACTGTGCCTGGCCTCTGGCTATCTCTTTTAAACAGGATGCTGGCTGTGTGTGGTGGCTCATGCCTGTAATCCCAGCACCTTGGGAGGTCGAGGCGGGTGGATCACTTGAGGTCAGGAGTTCAAGACGAGCCTGGTCAATATGGTGAAACCCCGTCTCTACTAAACATACAAAAAATTAGCTGAGTGTGGTGGTGCACGCCTATAATCCCAGTTACTCAGGAGGCTGAGGCAGGAAAATAGCTTGGACCTAGGAAGTGGAGATTGCAGTGAGCTGAAATCATGCCACTGCACTCCAGCCTGGGTGAGAAACCAAGACTCTGCCTCAAAAATAAAATAATCAGGATGCTGCATCTATAAATCCTAGTGTTACAGACTGAATGTTTGTGTCCCCCCAAAATTCAGGTGTTCAAGCCTTAACCCCCAGTGAGGCTATATGTGGCCATAGGGATGAGGCCTTGATCCAACAGGATCAGTGTCCTTGTAAGAAGAAACACCAGAAATCTGACTCCCTGATGCTCTTCCCCAGCTTGAATGCACCAAGGAAAGGCCATTTGTGGGGACATAGCAAGAAGGCAGCTGTCTGCAAGCCAGGAGGAGAACCCTCACCAGAAACCTCACAGAAATCGGCCAACACCCTCATCTCGGGCTTCCAGCTTCAGAACAACGAGAAAACAAATTTCTGTTGTGTAAGCACCCCAGTCTATGGTATTTTTGTTACAGCAGCCTGAGCTATCTAAGACACCTTCATAGGGGACGGGCGTGGTGTCTCACACCTGTAATCCCAGCACTTCGGGAGGCCGAGGTGGACAGATCATGAGGTCAGGAAATTTAGACCATCCTGGCTAACATGGTGAAACCCCGTCTCTACTAAAAATACAAAAAATTAGCCAGGCGTGGTGGTGGGCACCTGTAGTCCCAGCTACTCAGGAGGCTGAGGTGGGAGAATGGTGTGAACCTGGGAGGCGGAGCTTGCAGTGAGTGGAGATCGCGCCACTGCACTCCAGCCTGGGGGACAGAGCGAGACTCCATCTCAAAAACAAAAAAAAGTGGCTCACGCTTATAATCCCAGCACTTTGGGAGGCCGAGGCCGGTGGATCACGAGGTCAGGAGATCGAGACCATCCTGGCTAACGCGGTGAAACTCCTTCTCTACTAAAAATACAAAAAATTAGCTGGGCGTGGTGGCGGGTGCCTGTAGTCCCAGCTACTCCGGAGGCTGAGGTAGGAGAATGGCATGAACCCGGGAGGCGGAGCTTGCAGTGAGCCGAGATCGTGCCATTGCACTCCAGCCTGGGTGACAGAGCAAGACTCCATCTAAAAAAAAAAAAAAAAAAAAAAAAGACACCTTGATAAACTCGTTATCTTACCCTAAATGAAACTGCTACCAGTAAAATATACTTACAAGAGTCTTCTAGAGAAGGCCAATTCCTCGGTGGCAGAGGCGGTAATTGAACTGGCGACTCATTAAGAACATTCCTAGAGAGAGAGAAAGAGAGAGAATCAGTGTTTGGTTTGGGCCATGCCTGCTCCCAGCCGATTTAAGAGAAAACATCAAGGAAAGTGAATGGGTTGAACATTCAAATCTTGGTCTCTACTAATTGGAAGCATTTCCTTTCCTTTGTAGGTCCTGGTTCCCATTTGTAATTGGCACCCTAATGAAACCGTTTTCTGTAGCCCTGGAAATGGCTGAAAATGAGGGGAGGGAAATAAAGTGCTATAATTCAGAGCATGGAGCACACCTTCCTGGTTCACCTGAGCTGGATTCGGAGAGGTAGGCACCAGATGTATTTCTATTTGCAAAACAGATGAGCCGGGCATGGTGGCGCATGCCTGTAATCCCAGCACTTTGGGAGGCCGAGGCAGGCGGATCACCTGAGGTCAGGAGTTCAAGACCAGCCTGGCCAATATGGTGAAACCCTGTCTCTACTTAAAAATACAAAAATCAGCTGGGCATGATGATGCTCACCTGTAATCCCACCTATTCGGGAGGCTGAGGCAGGGGAATCACTTGAACTTCGGAGGCGGAGGTTGCAGTGAGCCGAGATCATGCTACTGCACTCCAGCCTAGGCAACAGAGTGAGACTCTGTCTCAAAACAAACAAATAAAAAAACAAAAAACAAAAGCAGATGAACTCCTAAAGCAGAATGTACACACACCTTGAGTCAGCATTTCCACTACTGGGTCTACAGACTATTGAAATGCTCGCATCTGTTCACCAAAACATGCATTAGAATGTTCAGAGCAACACTATTCATAACAGCTCTGAATTGGACACGACCTGTATTAGTCTGGGTTGTCCAGAGAAGCACAGACACATAAAATTTGCCATCACACAACTCAAATGTCCATCAGCAGTAGAATGGATAGATTAATTATGGTAAAGTGACTGGGCAAGGTGGCTGACATTGGTAATCCCAGCACTTTGGGAGGCGAAAGAGGGAGGATGGCTTGAGCCCAGGGGTTTAAGGGTAATATAGGGAGACCCTGGGCAACACAGGGAGACCCAGTCTCTACAAAAAAATCAACATAATTAGCAGGTTGTGGTGGCATACACCTGTAGTCCCAGCTACTCAGGAGACTGAAGCAAGAGGATCACTTGAGCCCAAAATTTGAGGTGACAGTGAGCTATGATTGCACCACTGTACTCCAACCTGGTTGAGAGTGAGACCTTGTCTCAAAATAAATAAATAAATAAATAAATACTGGTGTACTCCCACGGTGGAATGTTCTATAGCAACAAGAATGAACAATCTACAACTACACACAATGAATCTCATAAAAATGATGTTGAGCAAAAAAGCCAAACACCAAATAATATATACTATATGATGCCATTAATAGATTGCATAAAAACCAAAAAGCTGCTGGGCACGGTGGCTCATGCCTGTAATTCCAGCACTTTGGGAGGCCAAGGCAGGCAGATCATGAGGTCAGGAGATCGAGACTAGCCTGGCCAACATGATGAAACCCAGTCTCTACTAAAAATACAAAAATTAGCCAGGTGTGGTGGCGCATGCCTATAATCCCAGCTACTCAGGAGGCTGAGGCAGAAGAATTGCTTGAATCTGGGAGGCGGAGGTTACAGAGAGCCAAGATCGCGCCACTGCACTCCAGCCTGGGCAACAGAGTGAGACTCCATCTCAAAAACAAAAAAACAAAAAACAAAAAAAACCCAAAAAGCTAATTTATACTATCACAGACAGTGATTGCCTTTGGGATGTAATGGTTGAAAGGCTGTATAAAGTCAGCCTCTGAAGTGCTGGTAACGTCCTATTTCTTGATCTGGGTGCCAGTGACCTGGGTCTGTTGAGTTCGTGGAAATTCATCAGGTTGCACACTCAGTATTTCCATTTTCCTGTATTTATATGATACTTTGGTACAAAGTTTTAACTAAAAGATAAACTCTAAGAAAACTTCCTTACTTGGGCCTCCATCCCCCTAGGTACACTGATTTGACTCCTATATGCTATAAAGTCCCCCTGAGAATGAATAAACATTTTTAGGTTGTTAGGTTGAGTGCAGACGGGGACATGGGGGTAGAGCTCCACCGGCGGCTCTCACCATCCCTCTGTAGCTCTTCCTAAGAGAAGAAAGCAACTCATCTGACTGCTAAATTTGGGAAAAGTCTAGCTCCTCTCACTTTCTCCTCCAGAGCTGGCCTGACTGCAGAATTCACAAATCCTGCTCTGGTCTTTGCCATTCAGAAAAAGGGGTCTACTCGGTGGGGGAGACCTGAGGTTTTCCGGAGCTGCCTGTGAACTGGTTAGGAAAGTCACCCGGTTCCAAATTAGGAAACTCACTAGCTCACAGAAAAGAGCCACATTCTGCAATCCCAGTTTTATTCTTTTTTGTTTGCTTGTGTGTGTGTGTGTGTGTGTGTGTGTGTGTTTGTTTTATTATTATTATACTTTAAGTTTTAGGGTACATGTGCACAACGTGCAGGTTTGTTACATGTGTATACGTGTGCCATGTTGATGTGCTGCACCCATTAACTCGTCATTTAGCATTAGGTATATCTCCTAATGCTATCCCTCCCCCCTCCCCCCACCCCACAACAGTCCCCGGTGTGTGATGTTCCCCTTCCTGTGTCCATGTGTTCTCATTGTTCAATTCCCACCTATGAGTGAGAACATGCGGTGTTTGTTTTTTTGTCCCTGCGATAGTTTGCTGAGAATGATGGTTTCCAGTTTCATCCATGTCCCTACAAAGGACATGAACTCATCATTTTTTATGGCTGCATAGTATTCCATGGTGTATGTGTGCCACATTTTCTTAATCCATTCTATCGTTGTTGGACATTTAGGTTGGTTCCAAGTCTTTGCTATTGTGAATAGTGCTGCTATAAACATACGTGTGCCTGTGTCTTTATAGCAGCATGATTTATAGTCCTTTGGGTATATACCCAGTAATGGGATGGCTGGGTCAAATGGTATTTCTAGTTCTAGATCCCTGAGGAATCGCCACACTGACTTCCACAATGGTTGAACTAGTTTACCGTCCCACCAACATTTTTTTTTTTTGAGACAGGGTCTCACTTTGACACCCAGGCTGGAGTTCAGTGGCACGATCACAGCTCACTGCTGCCCTGACCTCAGGGGTTCAAGCAATCCTCCCACCTCAGCCTCCCAAGTAGCTGGGACTACAGGCAGACACCACCACACCTGGCTAATTTTGGTATTTTTCTCAGATATGGGTCCCCACTATGTTGCCCAGGCTGGTTTCAAACTCCTGGCCTCAAGCCATCCTCCCACTTGGGCCTCCCAAGTGCTGGGATTATAGGCATGAACCACTGCCCCTGGCCAATACCAGTTTTAGTTTTTTGCTTTTTTTTTTTTGAGACTGAGTTTCACTCGTCACCCAGGCTGGAGTGCAGTGGCACGATCTTGGATCACTGCAACCTCCACCTCCTGGGTTCAAGCAATTCTCCTGCCTTAGCCTCCCAAGTAGCTGGGATTACAGGCACACACCACCATGCCCAGCTAATTTCTGTATTTTTAGTAGAGACAGGGTTTCACCATGTTGGCCAGACTGGTCTCGAACTCCTGACCTCAGGTGATCTGCCTGCATCGGCCTCCCAAAGTCTGGGATTACAGGTGTGAGCTGCTGCACCTGGCCCCAGTTTTATTCTTAAAAAAGGCAATATTTAGTCACCTGACTGCCTGACACATTTGTCTTATTCTTGAAAGGGATCAGAATTGATGGAGGCAGGGGGAGTCTTATTTGCTGGATCCCTGAAGCTACAACAAAAGCCATTTTAGAAAAGCAGAGATTTAAAAATGTTTTGTATACAGGGTCTCACTATGTTGTCCAGGCTGGTCTTGAACTCCTGGCCTCAAGTGATACTCCCACTTTGGCAAAGTGCTGAGATTACAGGCATGAGCCACTGCACCTCGCCCCAAGTGTAAGTTTTGTTTTAGATAGTGTGTATACTCCAAAGAAAGGACTGGCTCTTGACTGGCTCCTGGGAAATAATCTCTAAACCCTTGGAATATTCTTCCTAATAAGAGTGTCTCCGGCCGGGCGTGGTGGCTCACGCCTGTAATCCCAGCACTTTGGGAGGCCGAGATGGGCAGATCACGAGGTTAGGAGTTCGAGACCAGCCTGGCCAACATAGCGAAACCCCGTCTCTACTAAAAATACAAAAAATTAGCCAGGTGTGGTGGCGCGCGCCTGTAATCCCAGCTATTCAGGAGACTGAGGCAGGAGAATCACTTGAACCTGGGAGGCAGACGTTGTGGTGAGCCGAGATCGCGCTATTGCACTCCAGCCTGGGTGACAGAGCGAGACTCTGTCTCAACAACAACAAAAAAAGTGTCTTTGAGGCCGGGCATGGTGGCTCACACTTGTAATCCGAGCACTTTGGGAGGCCAAGGTGGGTGGATCACTTGAGGTCAGGAGTTCCAGACCAGCCATGGCCAACATGGTGAAACGCCATCTCTACTAAAAATACAAAAATTAGCTGGGCATAGTGGCAGGTGCCTGTAATCCCAGCTGCTTAGGAAGCTGAGGCAGGAGAAGCACTTGAACCTGGGAGGCAGAGGTTGCAGGGAGCCGAAATCACGCCATTGCTCTCCAGCCTGGGTGACAGACTGGGACTCCATCTCGTAAATAAATAAATAAAGAGTGTCTTTGTATATCTGGGAGCCTTGGGCCACACCAGATAGTTTATGTTAATAATGTGGTTTATGGTGAATGCCTGTTTTTGTTTGCCTGGGGCCCTGGGCCATGTTTGATCAATTTGATAAAGCTAAGTGCAGGTATTCCATGCCTACATGACTAACCCCCAGTAAAAGAAAAACTCTGTACTCCAAGGCTCAGGTGAGGTTCTCCAGTCAGCAGTGCTTCGCGTCTGTTGCCACATATTGTTACTGGGAGAACTGGGGCTCTCTGTGCGACTTCACTGGGAGAGGACAACTGCAAGCTTTGCCTGCTTTCTGCTAGACCCCACACTCCATCACTTTTTCATTTGCTGATTTTAATCTGTATTCTTTCGCCATAATGTACTGTAATTGTTGAGCAAAATCGCTTTTCTGTGTTCTTCTAGTGAATTCTCAAGCCTAAGAGTGGCCTTGGAGATCCCCAACGCAGATATTGGTCATAAAGCCCCAAATAGATCACAAAACACAAAAGTAAAGTGGATGGCATATTTTTCTTCAGCGCAGTAGCTTTTGGAAGACTATATTTGGAATCCACCAAAAGAAAAGAAGTATAGACTGGGCGCTGGGCCCAGAACACAGAGCCCAACCTGTGACCTTTGTCAGAATAGATGAGAGTAGGCTGGGCACGGTGGCATGTGCTTGTAATCCCGGCTACTTGGGAAGTTAAGGTGGGGGAATTGCTTGAGCCCAGGAGTTTGAGACCCACAGGAGTTTTAGAGCTGCCTGGGCAACATAGCAAGACCCCATCTCCAAAAAAAAAAAAAAAAAAAAAAGAGGCTGGGTGCAGTGGCTCACGTCTATAATCCCAGCACTTTGGGAGGCCAAGGCGGGTGGATCACAAGGTCAGGAGTTTGAGATCAGCCTGGCTAACATGGTGAAACCCCGTCTCTACTAAAAATACAAAATACAAAAAGTAGCTGGGTATGCTGGCGTGTGCCTGTAATCTCAGCTACTTGGAAGGCTGAGGCAGGAGAATTGCTTGAACCTGGGAGGCAGAGGTTGCAGTGAGCCGAGATTGCGCCACTGCATTCCAGCCTGGGTGACAGAGTGAGACTCCATCTCAAAAAATAAAAATAAAAAAAAATAGAACTACCAGGCGGGCCTGGTGGCTCACGCCTGTAGTCCCAGCACTTTGAGAAGCCAAGGTGGGTGGATCACCTGAGGTCAGGAGTTTGAGACCAGCCTGGCCAACATGGCGAAACCCCATTTCTACTAAAAATACAAAAATTAGGCAGGCATGATGGTGGGTGCCTGTAATCCCAGCTACTTGGGAGGCTGAGGCAGGAGAATTGCTTGAACCCAGGAGGCGGAGGCTGCAGTGAGCCGAGATCGTGCCAATGCACTCCAGCCTGGGCGACAGAGCAAGACTCCATCTCAAAAAAAAAAAAAAGAGAGAGAGAGATGAGAGGAGGGAGGACTTGCCCTGCATCGACAATGTCCTGAGTCTCTGCCCTTATGTGGAGAGATTTGGCAGGTGTGAAGTCTCGCCAGCTCTACAGGAAATGCGGATGTCTCAGTCATACTGGTACGGTAGTGGAGGGGCAAGGGTGGAAGGGAACAGGCAGTTCTCAACAGTAAAAAGCGGAAGGATTCCCCCCTACTTACTCATACATCTTTTCTTCATCTACTTGCTTGTGTTTCAGGGGCTTGGCAATTTCCCATTTCTTGCCTAAGAGGGGAAAAGCATGTTCATTGAAGAAGAATTAGCAAAAGTTGTGATTTTTTAATTTAACCCAGAGAAAACACACTTAGGGACACAGTTAATAAATGATAGAGCCGGACTTAGAACCCAGACAGTCTAACCACAGAGCCTCTGCACTAACCCAGTGAAGGCAGCCACAGCATGGGTGGTGTTTATTTTCTCTATGCCTGGCACTTAGGTGGCACTTAGAAATGTTGGCTGAATGAATAATCAAAAGTGTGGTTGGGAGGAAATCAGATAAAGAATCGGAAAAGCAGTTTGTATCCTGTAGATGGACATACACGTTGTTATAAATTATAGCCTGCTTGTTAATAGGAGTGGTTGAGGATAAAAAGAAAGTAGGTGAAGTTTTAGTTCTGGGTCATTCCTTTGTCCATATTTGAGAATGGAAACTATTTTCTCCCCCCAGACAGAGCCTCACTCTTGTTGCCCAGGCTGGAGTGCAGTGGCGCAATCTCGGCTCACTGCAACCTCTGCTCCCTGGGTTCAAGCGATTCTCCTGCCTCAGCCTCCTGAGTAGCTGACGTTACAGGTGCCTGCCACCACACCTGGCTAATTTTTGTATTTTTAATAGAGATGGGGGTTTCGCCATGTTGGCCAGGCTGGTCTTGAACTCCCGACCTCAAGTGATCCACCCGCCTCAGCCTCCCAAAGAGCTGTGCTGAGATTACAGGCGTGGGCCACTGCACCTGGCAGGAATGAAAACTTGTTTTTTTTTTTTTTTAAGATGGAGTCTCACACTGTCGCCCAGACTGGAGGGCAGTGATGCGATCTCGGCTCACTGCAAGCTCCACCTCCCAGGTTCACACCATTCTCCTGCCTCAGCCTTCCTAGTAGCTGGGACTACAGGCGCCTGCCACCACGCCCGGCTAATTTTTTTTGTATTTTAAGTAGAAACGGGGTTTCACCGTGTTAGCCAGGATGGTCTTGATCTCCTCACCTCGTGGTCCACCCACCTCAGCCTCCCAAAGTGCTGGGATTACAGGCGTGAGCCACCGCGCCCGGCCAGGTTGTTATTTAAAGGAATGAGAGGTCAAGATAACACGCCATTGAATTAAAGCTTTCGTGTTTCTGGAGATGAACAGGAAAGTGGAAACCCCACTTACAGATAATCTAAAGTTAGTGTTAATCCCTAGGCCACTTATTTATGTCTGAGGGTGCCAAGAGGTTTCTGGTCTAGGTAATACCAGAAAATTCAGAGTATGGTCTCAGAGAAGGCAATCATGGTGGCCAAACATGTTGGCTGTGGATTGAGTCCATATTTTATTCCTCAAGACAGTTCTTTTTTTTTCTTTTTTGATATGGAGTCTCACTCTTGTCATCCAGGCTGGAGTGCAGTGGCACGATCTCGGCTCACTGCAACCTCCGCCTCCTGGATTCAAGTGATTCTCCTGCCTCAGCCTCCTGAGTAGCTGGGATTACAGGCACCCGTCACCACACCCAGCTAATTTTTGTATTTTTAGTAGAGACGGGGTTTCGCCATTTTGGCCAGGCTAGTCTCGAACTCCTGACCTCAGAGGATCCCACCACCTGGGCTTCCCAAAGGGCTGGGATTACAGGCATGAGCCACCACGCCCAGCCGAGACAGTTCTTAATATTCCATATACTTGTGTTCTCGCAAGATGCTGTGCGCAGTAGCCACATAGGGAAGAAAAAGCACTTGAGCATACTGTGCCTTCAAACAGATTCTGCTTTCACCCAGATGATTAGGGCTGGAAGGGCTCTTGGAGATTAGTTGATGTCCCTCCTTTCACTGTGTGGATGAGGAAACTGAGGCCTAGAGACATAATGTAGTGGCAGGGTTAGGACTCAAACCCAGAATGCAAGATGCTTAATCCAAAATTCAGCTCATTCAGGCCCAGGATTGATTTGCTTGCCCTAAAGGAGCTCTACTGCACCGATAACCACCTGGCTCCTCCCTCCACCTGCCTAGGTAAAATGGCCATTACCTCGTCTAAGCTGCCACTTACAGACACAGTACAGGATGAGGCCCAGACCCACAGAGACAACGATGATGGCCACAGCTAAGATGATCCAGAAATTATTCCTCCACCAGCTCATTGCAGTGGAATCCTGAGAAGAATGGAGAGAGAAGAATGAGGTATGAATGAAAGATATCCTGGGGTTGGGTGGAGTGGGGCAGTTATCTACTGTGGGTTGTTTTTTTTTTCTTTTCTGAGTCGGAGTCTCACTCTGTCGCCCAGGCTGGAGTGCAATGACGTGATCTCAGCTCTCAGCTCACTGCAACCTCCACCTCCCGGGTTCAAGTGATTCTCCTGCCTCAGCCTCCAGAGTAACGGGGACTACAGGCACCTGCCACCACGCCTGGCTAATTTTTGTATTTTTAGTAGAGATGGGGTTTCGCCACGTTGGCCAGGCTGGTCTGGAACTCCTGACCTCAGGTGATTCACCTGTCTTGGCCTCCCAAAGTACTGGGATTACAGACATGAGCCACCGTGCCCAGCTAATCTACTGTGTTGTGTAGAGATGCAGACATCTGCTTAGGAATCAGGCACTGGATCACAGCCATACCCTACTCATTAACACCTGGGGGACCTCAGGCATGTCACTCGACCTTCTGTGAGCCTCATCTATAATATGGGAATGATATCTCCTACTTCACTGAGGTTTGTGAGGACTGGAGATCGAACATGTACCTACTGGGCCCTCTAGAAATGGTAGACATCATCACTGCTCTTTCAGACATGCAGCAGGAGGGGGAAGGTGCCATTTAAAGCAATAATTGACTGCAGGGTTGTTTTTTTTCTTGAGACGGAGTCTCGCTCTGTAACTCAGGCTGGAGTGCAGTGGCGCGATCTGGGCTCTCTGCAAACTCTGCTTCCTGGGTTCACATCATTCTCCTGCCTCAGCCTCCCGAGTAGCTGGGACTACAGGCGCCCACGACCACGCCCGGCTGATTTTTTTGTATTTTTTTAGTAGAGACGGGGTTTCACCGTGTTAGCCAGGATAGTCTCGATCTCCTGACCTCGTGATCTGCCTGCCTCGGCCTCCCAAAGTGCTGGGATTACAGGCGTGAGCCACTGCACCAGGCCAGTTTTTTTGTTTGTTTGTTTGTTTGTTTGTTTGTTTGTTTTTTGAGACAGAGGCTTGCTCTGTCGCCCAGGCTGGAGTGCAGTGGCGCGATCTTGGCTCACTGCAACCTCTGCCTCCCAAGCAATTCTCCTGCCTCAGCCTCCTGAGTAGCTGGGATTAAAGGTGTGTGCCACCTCGCCTGGCTAATTTTTATATTTTTAGTAGAGACGGGGTTTCATCATGTTGGCCAAGCTAGTCTCGAACTCCTGACCTTGTGATCTACCTGCCTCGGCCTCCCAAAGTGCTAGGATTATAGGTGCAAGCCACCATGCCCAGCCAGTTGTTTTTAATCACAAGGACAAGTCAGACTTAATGCATAGCAGGGGAGAGAAATTTTGAGAGCTTTTGTTTGAGTTGAGGGTTAGAAAAATAGCTGGATGGGTCTCTTTGAGTGAGTTATGGTCAGAAGGGTGAAGCTGAAGATACAGGGCAAACTGAGTTGATCTGCATGAGAGAGTTAACAGGCATTTGGGGGCTGGAAGCTGACAGACCAGAGACCGGGAAAGTCTCGGAAAAGGTTAGCAGCAGAGTGAGAGGTCAAGAAGAGAGCACAAGTCAGATCCTGGTTAGGAAGCTCCCATAGTGGCAAATGACCAAGGCGTTTCTAGGACAGTAATGCCTCATGTCCAGCCTTAAATTGCTACCTAGGTTATGCTGTGGTGTCGCCTTTTGTTACCATCAAACCTCCAATAAAACTGCATAACACGGCCAGGTGCGGTGGCTCACGCCTGTAATCCCAGCACTTTGGGAGGCTGAGGAGGGCAGATCACTTCAGGTCAGGAGTTCAAGACCAGCCTGGCCAACATGGCGAAACCCTGTCTCTACTAAAAATACAAAAATTAGCTGGGTGTGGTGGCACATGCCTGTAGTCCCAGCTACTCAGGAGGCTGAGGCGGGAGAATTGCTTAAAGCCAGGAAGCAGAGGTGGCAGTAAGCCGAGATCACGCCACTACATTCCAGCCTGGACAACAGAGCAAGACTCCATCTCAAAACAAAAGCAAAGGCTGGGTGCAGTGGCTCACGCCTGTAATCTCATAACTTTGGGTGGCTGAGGCAGGCGGATCACATGAGGTCAGGAGTTCGAAACCAGCTTGGCCATCATGGTGAAACCCCTTCTCTACTAAAAATACAAAAAATTAGCTGGGCATGGTGGTGCACGCCTGTAATCCCAGCTACTTGAGAGACTGAGGCAAGAGAATTGCTTGAACCTGGGAGTCAGAGGTTGCGGTGAGCCGAGGTTGTGCCATTGCACTCCAGCCTGGGCAACAAGAGCGAGATTCCATCTGAAAAAAAAAAAAAAACACCGATCTCAAAGAGGGAGTTGTGAGAACCCCAACTTGAAGCTGGTTGCTCTCAAGTTCCAGAGGCCCGGACTTGCGACTGACGTCTGGGGAGTTGGGGGCAGCAGTCTTGGGAACTGAGCTGTGAGATCTGATACTATCTCTGGGTCTATAGTGCTGGCATTGAATTGGAGAACACCCAGCTGGTGTTCACTGCTTGGTGTGTGGCGGAAAAACCCTCACACATTTGGTCACAGAAGCCCTTTTCTGTGTTGGTGATTGTTGTGCTGGTGTGAGAACAGAGGAAAAACACCGCTTGCAGAGTTTTTCCTGAAACAATACTCTTTAGAGCGATAGAAATAAATACCACGACCTGCGCATTCAAAGCTGTTGTATCTGGATTGTGACTGCGTGGAAGGTCGAGGCGGGAAGACAGGGGCTGTTGCTTTTCGTTATAAACTCTGCATTACTTGATTTTTGCACTACGTACATTTACTTTGATAACACTGGAAAGAATAAATTGGCCATGTAGTGTAGCTTCCAAAAAAAACTATTGCTTGGGTTTCAAGGTCAAGGAAATTTCATTCTCATCAGTTTCTTGGGAAAGAGGAAGTGGAATGATGTTGTCAGAAAGTGAAACCATGGGTCATTTTCAGAACTACTCAGAGTAATAAATATTTTTTGTCAGTTTTGTTCTTACAAGTGAAATGGACCGCAGAGAGGCACTTTTTCTTTTCTTTTTTCTTTCTTTCTTTTTTTTTTTTTTGAGATGAAGTCTCGCTCTTGTACCCCAGGCTGGAGTGCGATGGCGTGATCTCGGCTCACTGCACCCTCCACCTCTCCAGTTCAAGCGATTCTTCTGCCTCAGCCTCTCCAGTAGCTGCGATTACAGGTGTGTGCCACCATGCCCGGCTAATTTTTTTTGTATTTTTAGTAGAGATGGGGTTTCACCATGTTGGCCAGGCTGGTCTCGAACTCCTGACCTCAGGTGATCCGCCTGCCTCAGCCTCCCAAAGTGCTGGGATTACAGGCATGAGCCACCACGCCCGGCCGACACATTTTTAATAGAACCAAGGAGAGCTTGCTTTTTGAGAGAGGGCAGCTGAGAGAGGGGGCCTAAGAGAATCACATCCTAGTTCCAGTAGGATGTCCTCTAGGCCACCAGGCTGGTTTAATGGCCAAGGTGCTTCCAGAGAGAGGAAGCCCTGGGGAAGGATGATAGAGAGTACAGAAAACAGGGAGTACACAATGGCTGCATGACCGAGTTCAGGCCCTGGGAAGGTATGAAAGCTGGATCCTACCTGTGCTGGCAGACCTGGAGTTGTTGCCACAGAGGGCCGATAAGATTGTGAGTACAGGACTACTGAGGGCTACTGAAGGATCGCAAAGAAGTGTTTGCACTGGCCGAGTGCAGTAGCTCATGCTTGTAATCCTAGCACTTCAGGAGGCCAAGGCAGGCGGATCACTTGAGTCCAGGAGTTCATGATCAGCTTGGGCAACATAGCAAGACCCTGTCTCTATATACACACACACACAACACACACACACACACACACACACACACACACTCTTACACTTAGCCAGGTGTGGCGGCATGTGCCTATAGTCACAGCTACTCAGGAGGTTAAGCTCCTCCTCAGCTACTCAGGGGGTTTCACCATGTTGGCCAGGGTGGTCTTGAACTCCTAATCTCAAGTGATCCGCATGCCTCGGCCTCCCAAAGTTCTGGGATTACAGGCGTGAGCCACCCTGCCCACCCAGAATGAACTTTCAAAAGGGAACAAGGATTAGAGAAGGGAGTGACACTGAATAGAACCAGAGAGAAGGGGCTTGGGGGCAGGAAGTTGAGAGCTCACACCTAAGTTTCCATTTCCTCTGAGGTGGGAGGCAAAGTCAACAGTGTGGGGGTTGAGGTGGGAGGGGTCCGGCTTGAGCAGAGCAGTGCAATAGCACGCACCAACTCCTCCACCTTCCAGCCCAGTCCCCATCCCCCATTCCCATGGCGCTTTCTTCACAATTTTAGTTGGTGGAGCCTCTCTCGTGAGGCCATCCTTTCTCCTTGCCTACCGCATCCCAAGAAGAACTCAGCTACGTGAAGGGATGTCACTACCCCCTGCAATATGTATATGTGAAATATGTTGGGCGCGGTGGCTCATGCCTGTAATCCCAGCACTTTGGGAGGCCGAGGCAGGCAGATCATGAGGTCAGGAGTTCAAGACCAGCCTGGCCAACATGGTGAAACCCCGTCTCTACTAAAATACAAAAATTAGCCAGGCATGGTGGTGTGCACCTGTAATCTCAGCTACTTGGGAGGCTGAGGCAGGAGAATTGCTTGACACTGGGAGGCGGAGGTTGTGGTGAGCCGAGATCACGCCACTGCACTCCAGCCTGGGCAACAGAGCTAGACTCCTTCTCCAAACAAAATTTTAAAAATGAAAAATAAGTTGGGCATGGTGGCACGCGCCTGTGGCCCCAGCTACATGGGAGGTTGAAGTGGGAGGATTGTTGGAGCCCAGGAAGTTGAGGCTGTAGTGAGCTGCAGTCACGCCACTGCACTGCAGCCTGGGTGACAGAGCCAAATCTTGTCTCAAAAAAAAAAAAAATGCATTGAGCACAGTGGCTCACACCTGTAATCTCAACAGTTTTGGAGGCTGAGGCAGGAGGATCACTGAAGGCCAGGAGTTAGCAACCAGCCTGGGCAACACAGCAAGACCTTGTCTCTACAAAAAAAATTAAAAATTTGCCAGGCAAGGTGGTGCATGCCTATAGTCCCAGCTACTCAAGAAGCTTAGGTGAGAGGATTGCTTGAGCCCAGGGATTCGAGGCTACATTGGGCCATGAATGTGCCACTGCACTCCAGCCTGAGTGACAGAGTAAGACCCTGTCTCAAAAAAAAAAGAAAAAACAGTGAAATGCATTTTTCTTCCAACTGAGCCTGTGACAGTGACAGTTGTCTCTTGGTGTATTTGTTCTTTTTATTTGTTTGTTCCTTGTCTGTCTCCCACACTGATGGGCAAGCAGCATAAGAGCAGAGGCTTTGCCTGTAATTACCACTGTGTTTCTAGCGCCTAGAACATCACCTGGGGCAGGACATACCATACATATCTGTGAATATACGAAAGAATGGATGATGCCCCAGTCTCTTTCCCCTGCTATAGATGGACCTCCCACCCGAGAATGCAGGCAGAAGTCACTTTGGGTCCAGTAACTGAAATTACTGTGCTGTGCAGTCTAATTCCAAAGCCTCATCTGGACACGCGACCCTGGGCAGGCTCCCCGTCCTGCGCTGGCCATTGGCTACTGGGGCCAAGAGGCTGGCTGGGAAGCAGTGGCAATCCAATGCTGGGGAGGTGGAGTTCCAGCTTCCCCTTTGTTTCTCCCCATTCCTCTAGTTGTCCATGACATTTTCAAGGAACATGAGTGAGCCTGTTGCAGTTCTGGGTGGTTTCAGTGGAAAGGATTTGGCAAGACCTTCCACAGTGAAGAGGGCGTGTGAGTGGGAGAGCAACTGAAGGCAGTCAACACATCAGCTTCACTTTCATTTCTCCAAAGGGCATTTCCAGGGTGTCAGGGACAGAAATCACATTTTCCTTCACCAGGAATTTCTGAGACTGTGGGTTTATTTAGCTTTTTTTTTTTTTTTTTTTTTTTTTTTGAGACAGAGTCTTGCTCTGTTGCCCAGGCTGGAGTGCAGTGGCGCGACCTTGGCTCACTGCAACCTCCATCTCCCCGGTTCAAGCAATTCTCCTGTCTTAGCCTCCCAAGTAGCTGGGACTACAGTCGCACGCCACCATGCCCGGCTAATTTTTATATTTTTAGTAGAGATGGCGTTTCACACCATATTGGTCAGGCTGGTCTTGAACTCCTGACTTCAGGTGATCCACCCGCCTTGGCCTCCCAAAGTGCTGGGATTACAGGCATGAGCCACTGCGTCCGGCGTATTTAGCATTTTTAAAAGAAGATCTTCAGTAAGAAATATGGTTTACGTTGTGATAGTTATTCACGTATTCACATAAATGAAGCGCTGAAGGGCCCTAGGCTGGCCATCAAGGGAACAAGTTCCCCTCCCCTCCCCTTCCCCCATCTCCTTTCTCCCCTCTTCTCCTTTCTCCTCTCTGCTCCTCTCCTCTCCACTCCTCTCCTCTCCGGTCCTCTCCTCTCTCCTTTCTCCTCTCCTCTTCTCTCCTTTCTTCTCTCCTCTCCTTTTTCTCCTCTCCTTTCCCTTCTTTTCCTTTTTGTAGAGACAAAAAAATGTTGTAGACACACAAAAAATGTTGCCTAGGCTGGTTTCAAACTCTGGGCCCCAAGTGATCCTCCGCCCCAGCCTCCCAAAGTACCAGGATTACAGGCATGAGCCACTGCACCTGGCCAGAGGGAATAGGTTTCCTGTTCCCACTTAGCTGTTGCACTTGGAATAAGATGCTTAACGTCTCCTTGCAGGCTTCTGAAAAGCTTCCAAGAGATGTTGCATGCAAAAGAGCTCTGTGTGCAGAAGATCACCAAGCATGAGGCATTATTAAGGGCAAACCAACCAAGTTCTATTTACAATAGCAAGTGTCTTCTAAGAAGGGCAGCTACCGACCAGGAGAGTCCCCTATTCTCCCTGCAGAGGATCTGCAGATCTGCAAAGCTGGCTGGGTTAGGAATGAAGTTTGCTGGTAGGAACTGGGGAATGTTGAATTCCTCTGGGTTATAGAAGGGGAGAATTTGGAGTTCTGGGAGGGAAGGTGATGAGAAGAAGGGATGGAAAGATGAAAAGGGAAGCCAGCAGGATGGTGCAAAGGTGGGAGTGAACCCGAGGGCTAGATTAGGCCTGCAGAACTTAACCTACCTTACTTGATTTTAGTCACTTGCTTCTAGTTGATCTTAAAACCTATATAGCTACTGGGGGCAGTGGCTCACACTTGTAATCCCAGCACTTTGGGAGGCCGAGGCTGGAGGATCACTTGAGCCCAGGAGTTCAAGACCAGCCTAGGCAACACAGCGAGACTTTCTCTCTACTGAAAATAAAAACAAAACAAAACAAAACAAAACAAAACCAGATGTGGCGGCATGTGCCTGTAGTCCCAGATACTCAGGAGGCTGAGGTGGGAGGATGGCTTGACTCTAGGAGATTGAGGCTGCAGTGAGCTGTGATTACCATCAGTGCACTCTAGCCTGGGTTATAGAGTGAGACCCTGTCTTTAAAAAAGAAAAAAGCCTATAGAGCTAAAAGTCATGTAGCTAAGCAATATTTAACTGGACTTCCACTAGCTTCCTGCTGGATAACATCTCTGACATATAGGTCATCATAGTAATGGTTGTTTAAGTTGTTTTTCAAGGGCTGGGCACGGTGGCTCACGCCTGTAATCCCAGCACTTTGGGAGGCCAAGGTAGGCAGATCACCTGAAGTCAGGAGTTCGAGACCAGCCTGGCCAAGATGGTGAAACCCCGTCTCTACTAAAAATACAGAAATTAGCCTGGTGTGGTGGCAGGCGCCTGTAATCCCAGCCACTCGGAAGGCTGAGGGAGAATCATTTGAACCCAGGAGGTAGAGGTTGCAGTGAGCCTCCAGGATCACGCCATTGCACTCCAGCCTGAGTGACGAGAGTGAAACTCCATCTCAAAAAAAAAAAAAGAAAAGAAAAAAAGTTGTTTTTCAGGAACTTGGGGTCAGCTCTTATCCAGTTCAAGCCACTTATGACCATCAATCCTTCAACTTGGTCTGTGTGAGTGTCCAGTAGGTGACGTTTGATGTCAGAGCGCCAAAAACTCCATCTTCCATCATGCTAATGCCACCATTTTGTGAACCTGCATCCTATGAAGAACGATGAAGCTTGACTAGGCTTGCACAGATTGCCGATGTCCTACTTTTCCCTCCAATCACCTTCCCCACACCTTAGGCCACCTGCTTCTTTGTCCCATAAACGTCTCTAAACCCCATCTTCGAGGAAGTGGGTTTGAGACCTGTTTTCCCATCTCCTCACTTGGCTGCCTCATGAATAAATGCATTCTGTGCTGCAAAACTGGTCATCTTGGCGGGACGCGGTGGCTCACGCCTGTAATCCCAGCACTTTGGGAGGCTGAGGCGGGCGGATCACGAGGTCAGGAGATCAAGACCATCCTGGCTAACACAATGAAACCCTGTCTCTACTTAAAAAATACAAAAAATTAGCCAGGCATGGTGGCAGGCGCCTGTAGTCCCAGCTACTCGGGAGGCTGAGGCAGGAGAATGGCGTGAACCCGGGAGGCGGAGCTTGCAGTGAGCCGAGATTGCGCCACTGCACTCCAGCCTGGGCGACAGAGCGAGACTCCGTCTCAAAAACAAAAAAAAAAAACTGGTCACCTCAGTGATTGGCTTACTGTGCGATGAGCAGAATGGGCCTCATTTGGTATCAAGAGGAGGAGCTGATAGAAAATGCTCAGGGATGGGCTGGCAAAGACATTTTCAGAGCAGCGCCGTGTTATGTTCTGTGTGCAGTTGTTTGCGCTGATGCGTTACAAGCCCCTCTGGTGGTCCCCCGCTGAGTCTTTGGTAAAGTCTGCTGCATCTGCCAATTCTTTTGTGAGCAGATTTGTTCTAGGGGTGTGGGGGACTAAGAAAGGGGTGGAATATAAACAGTGCAGTGTAAACAGTGCAGTATAAACAGTGCAGTATAAACAGTATAAACAGTGCAAACAGTGCAGTGTAAACAGCGCAGTGTAAACAGTTTTACCCACAGAGGCTGCAGGCCCATTGCTGACCATGGAAAAAGAGGTGGGCTCCTCGGGAGTCCACAGAAGTCCTGGGGAGGGCTTTGGACTTCGGCAGGCCTGGAATGAGGGTTCGAACTAATCTCAGTCTAGATCTCGAGGGTCTGAGAGGCTGTAGAGAACATTTAGGCCGGTTGGCATGAGCAGTTCTTGCCCCAGTTCACCTCTAATTCCCCGACTGTTGCTGTTCATGCTAAGTGAGGCCTTGTTCCCACTCGTTCTTCTTCTTTTTTTTTTTTTGAGATGGCGTCTTGCTCTGTCACCCAGGCTAGACTCCACTGGTGCAATCTCAGCTCACTGCAACCTCTACTTCCTGGTTCAAGCTATTCTCCTGTGTCAGCCTCCTGAGTAGCTGGGATTACCGACACGCACCACCATACCCGGCTAATTTTTGTGTATTTTTAGTAGAGATGGGGTTTTGCCATGTTGGCCTGGCTGGTCTCAAACTCCTGACCTCAAGTGATCCACCTGCCTCGGCCTCCCAAAGTGCTGGGATTACAGGCGTGAGCCACTGAGCCTCGCTCCACTTGTCCTTCTCACTGATGTCAGCACCAGAAATGGCCATGTGGATAGTCACTGGCAACTTAAAACCCAAGTGTGCATGGGGAAGTGCACGGCAGGGTCATTAAAAGGAGTCCAGCCTCTCTTCTTCCCTTCTCTATACTTTCACTTCTGGAAAAGACCGGAAACCTTGCCTCATTCCTCTTTCTCCCATGGCCCCATCCCCACCCCGCTTCAGCCCATCAGCCTCCAAATGTAGTCCAAGTCCTCATCTCTGTACCTGGACCATTGCATTTTCGCTGGCCCCTAGCCCCCACTGGGCTCCCCACTGGCTGCCAAATACCAGTGTGACCCTGTCCCTTCCTTGCTTTAAGCCTCTCAGTAGTTTGTTTGTTTGTTTTTGAGATGGAGTCTTGCTCTGTCACCAGGCTGGAGTGCAGTGACATAATCTTGGCTCACTGCAACCTCCACCTCCCGGGCTCAAACGATTCTCCTGCCTCAGCTTCCCGAGTAGCTGGGGCTATAGGCGCCCACCACCATGCCCAGCTAATTTTTGTATTTGTAGTAGAGACAGGGTTTCACCATGTTGGCCAGGCTGGTCTTGATCTCTTGACCTTGTGATCTGCCCACCTTGGCCTCCCAAAGTGCTGGGATTAGAGGCGTGAGCCACCATGCCCCGCCTGCCTCTCAGTAGTTATTTACCACTGAAGCAGAGTGAAGCCTGTGCTCCACATTGCTTCATGGCCAAGACCTCAGGGACAAGTGGACACACCAGGCAGTGGGAGTGGATATGGCAAAGCCAAACCCAGATCTCTTCTCAAAATAATTTTCCAGAGGGCAAAAGCAGATGGCTACACCGAGAACTCACGCCAGCCCAACACACTTTGATCTCGAGGCCTCTGGAAGGGAAGGTGCCTAATGAACTACTGAAAGCCAGAGATGCAATGACAAAGGTACCAAGACTGGAGGTGATCCAGGTCTTTCATCCAAGAGCCCCAAGACGTAGCCTAAATTCATGCTACGGTAATCCCAGCACTTTGGGAGGCCGAGGCGGGCGGATCACCTGAGGTCAGGAGTTCGAGAGCAGCCTGGCCAACATGGTGAAACTCCGTCTCTACTAAAAATACAGAAATTAGCCAGGTGTGGTGGCGGGTGCCTGTAATCCCAGCTACTCAGGAGGCTGAGGCAGGAGAATCGCTTGAACCCGGGAGGCGGTGGTTGCAGTGAGCCGAGATCACGTCACTGCACTCCAGCCTGGGCGACAAGAGCGAAACTCCATCTCAAAATAAAATAAAAATAAATAAATTGACACAGTCAGTGCCTCGCTCCCACCCCCACCTCCAGCATAGCACCATGACAGTCTTCTCACATAACAAGTCCCAAAACACACCATCGGCATCCAGAAAGTGAGAGTAACTCGTTACAGTTGAGACCTCTCACTCCCGGTCATTATCTCATTTCAATCCAAGAGGTAGACTTCTTCATCGCCCCTGACATACACATGAGGAAAAGGCCCAGAGAGGTGAAGTGATGCCTCAGGTCACTCAGCCAGTTACCAGTAGAGCAGATCCTTCAATGCAAGTTTTTCTCCAACCCTACACAGCAGTCGTACCAGGGCCCCAGGCTGCAATCCCCTGGCCCAGTGCTGATCGGTGGCTCCCAGGGACACGCCCTGATGCCAGCGCTGGCAGATGTCTGCTGTGAAGAGAGCAGGAAACTGTCCCTTGGAAAGCTGAGATGCTTACCTGAACTGTGAAAGTATCCATATGTGAGCAGCTAAGGAGACAGCAGTGGCTGGAGTGCTGCAGCTCAGGCACAGCTGGTGAGAGGCATTCCTCACTCACAGGCCTTCACCCACTGCTAGAGACAGTGAGCCCCATCCTGACCACTTCCCCTTTCTAGTCAGCCCACGGGGCAGAGACCCTGGCGTCATCTCTAGGCAACCATCCCTTTTCCAGGGAAGCTCATGACCCACGGCTGTCCAGAAGCCAGAATCTTCTCACTGCCCCGTGTCGCTCCCGCAAGGCCTACCAGAGGACCCTCATGGTGTGGTAGGGGGTCCTGGCAGGGGCCAGGGGCCAGGGTGGAGACTTGGCAGTGGGGGTGGGTTTGGTGTCCCCACAGACGAGTTTGCCGTGAGCATTCCTGGATGTGGCAACCTCAGTCTCAAGAAGAGCGACAGGACGCCAGCTCCCATGCAGAGACAGATCCAGGTAAGAAACCAGCTCATGTGTGACAAACTCACCATCTCACCATGAAGGTGACTCTTGAAAGCTCCTGTGCACCTTGGAACTGCTGAGACATCTTCTGCTTGGAGGAGGCAAGGGACAGGCTTCCTGTTTCTAAAGGCGTGTGAGTGGCGACCTTGAGAAATGTGGCCAGTGGAGCATTTTGACTGAGTTGGGTCCCCTCGTGCAATACTGTGAGACAGAACTCCCAGCGAGGCCCACGGCCTCTGACCATGGGGGTTGGAGTGGGGAAACCAATTAGCCATTTTGTTGAATTGGCTGGTTCTGACTCAAATGAGCAGTCACATTAGTAAAAATAGGCAAACGGATGTGCATTGTATTTGCCCAGAGCGAATGAGTTGTTATCCATTTCAGTAATAATGATAACCAGATATGTCTGATAAATATCTGATAATGTCTGATATATGTCTGGTAAATTTAACAAACACCGGGCTCTGGCTGGGTGCGGTGGCTCACACCTGTAATCCCAGCACTTTGGGAGGCCAAGGCGGGTGGATCACCTGAAGTCAGTAGTTCGAGACCAGCCTGGCCAACATGGTGAAACCCCATCTCTACTAAAAATACAAAAATTAGCTGGGCATTTTGGTGTGAACCGGTAGTCCCAGCTACTCAGGAGGCTGAGGCGGGAGAATTGCTTGGACCCGCGAGGTGGAGGTTGCAGTGAGCCAAGATCACACCATTGCGCTCCAGCCTGGGCAACAGAGCAAGACTCTATCTCAAACAAACAAAACAAAACATCTGGCTCAGAAGATTCCTGATTTGCAGTGTTTACTAATTTCTTTTTTCTTTTTCTTTCTTTCTTTCTTTTTTTTTTTTTTTTTTGAGATGCAGTCTCACTCTGTCGCCAGGCTGGAGTGCAGTGGCTCAATCTCAGCACACTGCAACCTCCGACTCCCAGGTTCAAGCAATTCTCCTGCCTCAGCCTCCCAAGTAGCTGGGACTACAGGTGTGTGCCACCGCATCCGGCTAATCTTTGTATTTTTAGTAGAGACAGGGTTTCACCATGTTGGCCAGGCTGGTCTCGAACTCCTGACCTCAAGTGATCCACCTGCCTCGGCCTCCCAAAGTGCTGGGATTACAGAGTTGAGCCACTGCACCTGGCCAAGGCCTGAACTCTTTCTTCTTAGGCTCATCCAAAGTTTAGCTGCTAAAAAACCTTCCTAAAAGCCAATTTAAAATTTTCTTCTAGGCCGGGCACAGTGGCTCACGCCTGAAATCCCAGCACTTTGGGAGGCCAAGGCAGGCGGATCATGAGGTCAGGCGTTTGAGACCAGCCTGGCCAACATGGTGAAATCCCGTCTCTACTAAAAATACAAAAATTAGCCAGGCATGGTGGCAGGTGCCTGTAGTCCCAGCTACTTGGGAGGCTGAGGCAGAAGAATCGCTTGAACCTGGGAGGCGGAGGTTGCAGTGAGCCGAGATCGAGCCACTGCACTCCAGCCGGGGTGACAGAGCAACACTCCGTCTCAAAAAAAAAAAAAAAAAAAATTCTCTTCTGAGGGGTGAATAAATGCTTCTGTGGATAGAGCTCATCCTAGGCTAACAAAGCTGTGACTTCTTGGTTTGTGTTTCATTCATTCATTCAATAAATTACTCAATAAATTATTTTGCTAACCTTTAAGGACCTCAGTTCAGCTGTGATATAGTAAACTCTGTAGCCCTACTATTTCTAACAATGCCTTTTGCACAGCAAGTTCAAGCCTGAGGTGTCAGGTGATCAGAATTCCAGGCCCGGTTTGACAAAACTTTCTTTGTGAATCCTTCCCTTCTCTGAGCCTCAGTTTCCTTGTTGTAAAATGAAAGAATTCAATTGACAAATATGAAAGTGCTCCAGGGATTTTGCCATCTGCCTTCAAGAAAGTCCCGCAAAGTGTAGGAGGAAGTTGAAGCCATAATATGATGCAGGCTAAATACAATGACCTTCAATTTGTGCCAGACCCTGTGCTCAACAAGTAGAGACTCAGAACTGGGCAAGTCATTCATGGGTAGAGCACATGGCACATGTTCTACAGGACAGAAGGCACATAAGTTATTACTATGCAAAGTGATGAATGCTAGTGCTGTGGAAGCACAAAAGTGGGAGAGAAGAAAGGGTCTGAGTGGTAGCATTTGAACTGGGCCTTGAAGGATGTGTAGGAGCTCACCAAATGGACAGAATGTGGACAGACACAAAGCAGCCATAGTATTTGGAGAGAAAGAGATGGTTGCATGGCTGATCAAGAGTGAATGTGTTGGGCAGTCAGAGGCTTGAGAGCAAAGTTTAGGGACACACACCACGGCATCTGGATCTACCCACTTCCTTGCTATCTACATTCTTCCCCGACTCCACCATTTGTCTTTCCACCACAAGAGGAGGGCAGGAAGTTGGGGCGGTTGTGTTCTTTCTGCACATCTGAAATGCCACCTGCTGGTCTGGGCAACTAAAGAGGTCCCTGAGGGCCCTAGATTAGCGGCTGGACCAGAGGGTGTCAAGGAGAATGAAGGGCACCCTCTAGTGGTCACCTGTGGTGCTTTCTCCTCAGGATTCTGGTCCCTCTGACCTCCCCGTAGGGATGGCTGGACACACAAGATGTTCACCTCTTAAAGCTACAGAGACCATCAGGCTAGAGGACACTCAGAAGGGATTCCAGTCCACCCTTCATCTCATGACTCAACCTTTTTGTCAACATCCGGGTGGCACCCAGCTTCTGCCGTTTTGTTTCTTCTCACTCAGTCATCTAAGTCATGTGTAAAATGAGGTGTTATTCTTTGTGCCACTCACAAGTGTCAATTAATCCCCATCATGAGAAAAAAACTGAAGAAAGAGAAATCATAAGATACAACATATAATTAGAACATTAATAGATTTTATTGCAGTTTTTAAAAAGGTGGGGGTTTTTGTTTGTTTTTGTTTTTGTTTTTGAGACAGAGTTTCGCCCTTATTGCCCAGACTGGAGTGCAATGGCGCGATCTTGGCTCACTGCAACCTCCACCTCCTGGGTTCAAGCAATTCTCCTGCCTCAGCCTCCAGAGTAGCTGGGATTACAGGCATGCGCCACCATGCCCTGCTAATTTCGTACTTTTAGTAGAGATGGGGTTTCTCCATGTTGGTTAGGTGGCTGGTCTTGAACTCCTAACATCAGGTGATCTGTCCACTTCAGCCTCCCAAAGTCCTGGGATTACAGGCATCAGCCACCACTCCGGGCACAATAACTCATCTTTAAAGAGCTCTGAGAGCAATATGGGTGGCCAAAGCACTCAGGTGGAACCAGAAGTCATCACTAAGCAACCGTGGCTGCTTTGTTTGTCCCTAACAATAGCCAAGCAGATGTTGTAGCTCCTCTGTCTCCCACCCTGGCCCCATGACATTGAGGTGGGGTCGTTCCAGCTCAGATGTAAAAAGGCAAGTGTATAAGTATTTGGGGTTGTGGCAGGAGGCAGCCGTGTCTTGTGTATGAAGGGAGTCCCTGCCCACTTCTCCCCATTTCTGGAGGTAAAGATTCCCATGAAAGGTACTAGGAGCATTGGGCCCCTAAACCCCAGAACCCATGAGTATGTTATTTTAGATGGTGAAAGGGATTTTGCAGATATGACTAAGGATTTTGAAGTGGGGAAGTCATGCAGGATTATCGACATGGACCCCATGTAATCACAAGATCCTTCTGAGAGGGATACAGGAGAGTCAGGGTCAGTGGCAGGGGATGTGCTGGCAGAGGCAAGAGACTGGGGAGATCCGAAGAAGGGGTCTCGAGCCAAGAAATGCAGGCAGTCTCAAGGAGCTGGTAATGGCTGGGCAATGGATTTTCCCCTGGGACAGGGATGGAGAGACAGCAGTGATTTCAGTTCTCACTCTTGAACCTTCTCTCTTCTTCGTTCCCAAACATGAGTCCACCAGCCCCATTACCACTCAACTGACTGGGAGCCACATCAACCATAACTCTTATGATTTACCAGTTGTAATACTTAAGCATTTTCTGTGGCCTGGCAATTTATTTATTTATTCATTTATTTTTGAGACGGTCTCACCCTGTCACTCAGGCTGGAGTGCAGTGGTGCAGTCGTGGCCCAACGCAGCCTCGAACTCCTGGGCTCAAGCGATCCTCTCACCTAAGCCTCCCAAGTAGCTGGGACCATAGGCATGCACCACCACACCTGGCTAATTTTTAAATTTTTTGTAGAGATGGGGGTCTCGCTATGTTTCCCAAGCTGGTCTCAAACTCCTGGCCTCAAGAGATTTTACCGCCTCGGCCTCCCGAAATGCTGGGATTACAGACATGAGCCACTGTGCCTGGCCTGGCAATTTAACCCAACTCAGTCATCTCTCCTCTGGACACTCTCCCCATGACATACTTTGCAATGGTTTTAAAATATGCTCATACATTTTTTTGACACTCCTCCCATTGAGCTGTGGGAATCTATGTCCCCTCTACTCAAAAGTGGGCTGACGTTAGTGACTCACTTATAACACTGACTGTAGGGGAAGGAAAGCTGCTTAACTTTTGAGGATAAAAAATTATGCAGCTTTGGGCGGGACGCGGTGGCTCACGCCTGTAATTCCAGCACTTTGGGAGGCCGAGGCGGGTGGATCATGAGGTCACGAGTTCAAGACCAACCTGGCCAGTGGAAGGTCCCCTGAATGGGCTACCCCATGGTCGAGCCATTGTGACCCCTGTGACCCACACGTTACAGGCCTCCTGGAGTCACAAAGCCTGGAGCAACAGGAGAACCACTAAAGAAGACGGAACAGCTAGTTCCTGCCTTAATGATTAACCGACCTTGCAACAGTCCACCTTGTGATATGTTCCTGCCCTTCCCCAACTAATCCATCCACCTTGTGATATGTTCCTGCCCTTCCCCAACTAATCCATCCACCTTGTGATATGTTCCTGCCCTTCCCCAACTAATCCATCCACCATTGTGACATGTTCCTGCCCTTCCCCAACTAATCCATCCACCATTGTGACATGTTCCTGCCCTTCCCCAACTAATCCATCCACCTTGTGATATGTTCCTGCCCTTCCCCAACTAATCCATCCACCTTGTGATTGTTCCTGCCCTTCCCCAACTAATCCATCCACCACTGTGATATGTTCCTGCCCTACCCTAACTAATCCATCCACCTTGTGATATGTTCCTGCCCTTCCCCCAACTAATCCATCCACCACTGTGATATGTTCCTGCCCTTCCCCAACTAATCCATCCACCTTGTGATATGTTCCTGCCCTTCCCCAACTAATCCATCCACCACTGTGATATGTTCCTGCCCTTCCCCAACTAATCCATCCACCTTGTGATATGTTCCTTCCCTACCCTAACTAATCCATCCACCTTGTGATATGTTCCTGCCCTTCCCCAACTAATCCATCCACCTTGTGGCATGTTCCTGCCCTTCCTCAACTAATCCATCCACCACTGTGACATGTTCCTGCCCTACCCTAACTAATCCATCCACCTTGTGATATGTTCCTGCCCTTCCCCAACTAATCCATCCACCTTGTGGCATGTTCCTGCCCTTCCTCAACTAATCCATCCACCACTGTGACATGTTCCTGCCCTACCCTAACTAATCCATCCACCTTGTGATATGTTCCTGCCCTTCCCCAACTAATCCATCCACCATTGTGACATGTTCCTGCCCTTCCCCAACTAATCCATCCACCATTGTGACATGTTCCTGCCCTTCCCCAACTAATCCATCCACCTTGTGATATGTTCCTGCCCTTCCCCAACTAATCCATCCACCTTGTGATTGTTCCTGCCCTTCCCCAACTAATCCATCCACCTTGTGACATGTTCCTGCCCTACCCTAACTAATCCATCCACCTTGTGACATGTTCCTGCCCTACCCTAACTAATCCATCCACCACTGTGACATGTTCCTGCCCTACCCTAACTAATCCATCCACCTTGTGATATGTTCCTTCCCTACCCTAACTAATCCATCCACCTTGTGATATGTTCCTGCCCTTCCCCAACTAATCCATCCACCACTGTGACATGTTCCTGCCCTACCCTAACTAATCCATCCACCTTGTGATATGTTCCTTCCCTACCCTAATTAATCCATCCACCTTGTGATATGTTCCTGCCCTTCCCCAACTAATCCATCCACCTTGTGATATCGTGCCTTATGACTTCCCCCACCTTGTGACTATGCACCTTGTAACATTCTTCCCCTGCCCAAAAAAACTGCCCCTAACTGTAACTTTCCACTACCTACCCCAAACCTATAGAACCAGTTCCACTCCCACCACCCTTCGCTGACTCCTTTCTCTGACTCAGCCCACTTGCACCCAAGTGAATAAACAGCCTTGTTGCTCCACTAAGCCTGCTCAGGTGGTCTCTTATACGGAGGCGTGTAACAGCCAAGATGGTGAAACACTGTCTCTACTAAAAATACAAAAATTAGCCGGGCGCTGTGGCGGGCACCTGTAATCCCAGCTACTCGGGAGGCTGAGGCAGGGGAATCGCTTGAACCCAGGGGTGGAGGTTTCAGTGAGCCGAGATCAGGCCACTGCACTCCAGCCTGGGCAACAGAGTGAGACTCCATCTCAAAGAAAAAAAAAATTATGAAGTTTCCAGTTCGTCCTCTTAAGATTCCCACTCAGTGGGAGGGGGAAGCCAGCTACCACATAAGAAGTCCAGCTACTCTGAGACCCCGCCATGCTGGAGAAGCCATGCAGAGCCCTGGGTTGGCAGCCCCAGCTGAGCTACCTGGACACAACCCATGCCAGCCATGTGAGTGAGCCATCTTGGACGTCCAGCCCTGTGGGGCCTTCAGATGACATCTGAGCAGCTGCTAGGGAAACACTGAGTGAGACCTGCCAGGCTCAGTCCTGTCTAAATTCCTGGCCCACAAAATCATGAGCAAACCAAGTGGCTATTTTAAGTCAACAAGATTTGCAGTAACTTGTTACACATCCGTAGTGGCTGGAACAACTTTTTCTCTACCCTCTTGCCCCACTTCCACGCCTCCAGGGGCAAAGCATAACGCCCATTTTGCTGCAAACAGCGTGCCTGGTCGGCCTCTCTATCACAGCTGAGTGCACACCTGTTATCTTGCCTTCCCAGGACTTCACTCCCTCTTCGGTGAATAGCAATCCTTTCTTTTGAGGAAATGTCCCCCCACTGCCCACCCTCTTTATCAATCACATTGCTTTCGGTCAGAGCTGCCACTTTCCTGTTTTCATTCCCCACTGCCACATGGGAATGCAGGTGGCCTCTAGGAGGTGAAGAAGGCAGGGAAATAGGTTCTTCCCCAGAGCCTGCAGAAAGAACCTGCCTGCCAATACATTTCAGACTGCTGAACTTTAGCACCTCCAGATCTGTAAGAGAATATCAAACGTGTGATATTTTGCTACAGCAGAAACAGGAAGTGAATACACCCTTCAACACCTGCAGGATCCTCCCAGTACTTTTTTTTTTTTTTTTTTTTTTTTGAGACAGAGGCTCACTCTGTTGCCCAGGCTGGAGTGCAGTGGTGCAATCTTGGCTCACTGCAACCTCCCCATCCCGGGTTCAAGCGATTCTCCTGCCTCAGCCTCCCAAGTATCTGGGACTACAGGTGTGAGCCACCATGCCTGGCTAATTTTTGTAGTTTTTAGTAGAGACAGGATATCACCATGTTGGCCAGGCTGGTCTCGAACTCCTGACCTCAGGTGATCCGCTTGCCTCGGCCTCTCAAAGTGCTGGGATTACAGGTGTGAGCCACCATGCCCGGTCTCAGTACTTTTTTGTTTATGTCTAAGTCAGTTCCAGGAAGGCTGCCACCATTTGCTACCAAAACAATCCTTACACAACAATAGCAAGTCTCCTTCCATCTCCTCTATTCTGGTCCTTGAAACCTTATCAATGGTGAGGTCACAGTCATTGTTTGTTGTTCGGTTGAGAACTGAGGGGGTGGGGTAGGAGGAAGAAGGTCTATTTTTAAAAATCACACACACTAAAAAAGGTTCAGGCTCTGAGAACCTGTGAAATCTTGACTAATTTTGGCTTTCCCCATGGGAACCCACCAGAAAAGTATTCAAACTTGTATAGAACACCCTTGACGTAACTAACTCCATCTTAGAAAAATACTCCATTTTATATTTCATACAGCACTTTGCCAATTAGGATAAGATGTTTTGCTTAAGAAACAAATTTAAAAAAAAAAGACTGCATCCAACCAGATAAAGATACAAACAAGCACACTCTTCCACCATCAGTTCTCATCAGAGGACTCTGTAACTATAAAACATCAGGCCTTGGCTGGCTGGGTGCAATGGCTCATGCCTGTAATCCTAGCACTCTGGGAGGCCGAGGCAGGTGGATCACAAGGTCAGGAGTTGGAGACCAGCCTGACCAACATAGTGAAACCCCATCTCTACTAAAAATACAAAAATTAGCCGGGCATGGTGGCGTTCGCCTGTAGTTCCAGCTACTTGGGAGGCTGAGGCAGGAGAATTGCTTGAACCCGGGAAGCGGAGGTTGCAGTGAGCCAAGATCATGCCACTGCACTCCAGCCTAGGTGACAGAGCAAGACTCCATCTCAAAGAAAAAGAAAAAGAAAAAGAAAAAAAAGCAGGCCTCTAGCAGCTTGAAATAGCCATAACTCATCATCATCACTCATGATAAGAACTCAGCATTTGGCTGGGCGAGGTGGCTCATGCCTGTAATCCCAGCATTTTGGGAGGCCGAGGCGGGTGGATCACCTGAGTCTGGGAGTTTGAAACCAGCCTGGCCAACACGGTGAAACCCCGTCTCTACTAAAAATACAAAAATTAGCTGGGTGTGGTGGTGTGTGCCTGCAATCCCAGCTACTTGGGAGGCTGAGGCAGAAGAATCACTTGAACTTGGGAGGCGGAGGTTGCGGTGAGCCAAGATCACGCCATTGCACTCCAGCCTGGGCAACAAGAGTGAAACTCCGTCTCAAAAAACAAACCAAAACAACTCAGCATTTGACCCCCAAAAGCTCGGCCACATTAAAGACTCCTCCTTGCAAGATCTAACGGGGCCCAGAGACTACCAGACCACCAGACCAGGACTCCTTTGGTCTTCCTGCTCCCCCTGGACTGGTTCCTTAACCCTTTCTCCTCTTTTTCCTCTTGATGTTAAATGTTACTTTGTTTGTTGTGGGATGTTTACTACATAACACTTATATATCAATTAAGTATGTTATTCTGTACGGTTTGCAGTATTGACTTAATTATTGTGGACTGGCTGGAGCCTGTGTGCCCGCAGCTGACTACTGAGTGATGGGAAGTACTAAGGAGAATTGCCTCCTTGGGAACTCCACGTAGCCTGTGGCTTTTGTGATTTAAGTAGCATGAATAAAAGCGTGACACTGTGGAAAGACGCAAACACACGTGGACCTGGTTATCTGTAACCTTGTACCGCTCATGACAAAATTAGCAAATCGTTTTCTTTAAAAAAAATCATGGTAAAATGTATGTACCATAAGGCTTATTTTAATCTTTTTTTTTTTTAATTTTTTTTTTGAGACGGAGTTTCGCTCTTGTTGCCCAGGCCGGAGTGCAATGGTGCGATCTCGGCTCACCGCAACCTCTGCCTCCCGGGTTCAAGCGATTCTCCTGCCTCGGCCTTCCGAGTAGCTGGGTCCCCACCACCATGCCCAGCCATTTGTATTTTTAGTAGAGATGGGGTTTCACTATGTTGGCCAGGCTGGTCTCCAACTCCTGACCTCCTGATCCACCTGCCTTGGCCTCCCAAAGTCCTGGGATTACAGGTGTGAGCCACTGCACCCAGCCCAGAACTTTTTCATCTTCCTAAAGTGAAACACTGTAACCATTGTCCACTCTCTCCTGCCCCTGGTAGCAATTCTTTCTTGAAAAAGGCTAAAGTAGGCCAGGCGCGGTGGCTCATGCCTGTAATCCCAGCATTTTGGGAGGCGGAGGCGGGTGGATCACCTGAGGTCGGGAGTTCAAGACCAGCCTGACCAACATAGAGAAACCCCGTCTCTACTAAAAATACAAAATTAGCCAGGCATGGTGGCGCATGCCTGTAATCCCAGCTACTCGGGAAGGCTGAGGCAGGAGAATCGCTTGAACCTGGGAAGCGGAGGTTGCGGTGAGCCGAGATCGCGCCATTGTACTCCACCCTGGGCAACAAGAGCGAAAACTCCGTCTAAAGAAAAAAAAGAAAAAAGCCAAAGTAGGCCAGGCATGGTGGCTCACGCCTGTAATCTCAGCACTTAGGGAGGCCGAGGCGGGTGGATCACCTGAGATCAGGAGTTCGAGACCAGCCTGGACAACATGGTAAAACTCTGTCTCTACTAAAAATACAAAAGTGAGCCAGGCGTGGTGGTGGGCACCTGTAATCCCAGCTACTCGAGAGGTTGAGGCAGGAGAATTGCTTGAACCTGGGAGGTGGAGGTTGCAGTGAGCTGAGATTGCACCACTGCATTCTAGCCTTGGCAACAAGGGCGAAACTCTGTCTCAGAAACAAAAACAACAACAACAAAAAGATAATTTTAAATAAAAGATAGAACTATGAATCTCATGAAGATATAAAAATGAACGCCAGCCTGGCCAAGATGGTGAAACCTTGTCTCTACTAAAAATACAAAAATTAGCTAGACGTGGTGGTGGGCACCTGTAATCCCAGCTGCTCAGGAGGCTGAGGCAGGAGGATCACTTGAACCTGGGAGGCAGAGGTTGCAGTGAGCCGAGACCGAGCCACTGTGCTCTAGCCTGGGCAACAGAGCAAGACTTTGTCTCAAAAAAAAATTTTTTATTCCACTTATTAATCAATGAGGGAAGAAAGCCACTGCAGCCTGGGCAACAGAGGGAGATCCTGTCCGAAAAAAAAAAAAAAAAAAGAAGGCCAATGTTATAAGAGGTTTAAAAGAAAATCCAAAGACCAGATAACATTTATAAATCAAGGTTATTGAAACAAATTGAGATAGAGCAGGGACCCGTTTTAGGGGCCTGAGAGCCCTTTTAAGCATGGAAATAAAGGAAAATCTTGAGTTCCTTCAAAGAAAATTCCAGGCACCTAGCTAGCCCTGAGAAGTAAATGAGTAACTTGATAAGCAGGAAGGTAATAGTAGCTTAAAACAATAGCCAAGGCCAGGCGCGGTGGCTCACGCCTGTAATCCTAGCATTTTGGAAGGCCAAAGAGGGAGGATCACCTGAGTTCAGGAGTTCAAGACCAGCCTGGCCAACACGGGGAAACCCTGTCTCTACTAAAAATACAAAAAAAGTTAGCTGGGTGTGGTGGTGGGTGCCTGTGATCCCAGCTACTTGGGAGGCTGAGGCAGGAGAATTGCTTGAACCTGGGAGGCGGAGGTTGAAGTGAGCCAAGATTGCACCATTGCAGTCCAGCCTGGATGACAGGGCGAGACTCTGTCTCAAAAACAAAAAAACAAAACAAAACAAAACAAAACACTAACAAAAAATAGCCAAGGAAGTTAGAGTGAGGAGACGTTTTGTTACCCATGTCCCTGAGTTGTTTTTCAGAAATCCGGACACCCACCAAATGGATCTGCTGGCCCGTAGACTTCAGATAAGGGCAGCTGAGAACTGAACTCTGACTTCTGGTCTTTGTTCCAAATTTCTTCCTGAGGGGCCTAGAGGAAGTCATGCCCAGGAGCCAGAGCTAACATTCTTTTCTGCTGACCCCAAATTTTTAGACAAAGCTTCGCCTCCTGAACCAATTGCAAATCAGAAAATCTTTGAACCTACCTATGACCTGTGGTCTCCCTCCCTTTGAGATGTCCCTCCTTTTTAGGTAAAATCAATGTATAGCCTGTATGTATTGATTTACAACTTTGCCTGTAACCTCTGCCTCTCTGCCTTTAAAAACCCTTGCCTGGCCGGGCATGGTGGCTCACGCCTGTAATCCCAGCACTTTGGGAGGCTGAGGCGGGCGGATCACCTGAGATCAGGAGTTCAAGACCAGCCTGGCCAACATGATGAAACCCCATCTCTACTAAAAATACAAAAATTAGCCAGGTGTGGTGGCGCATGCCTATAATCCCAGCTACTTGGGAGGTTGAGGCAGGAGAATCGCTTGAACCCGGGAGGCGGAGGTTGCAGTGAGCCGAGATCACGCCACTGCACTCCAGCCTGGGTGACAGAGCAAGACCCTGCCTCAAAAATAAATAAATATAAAAAATAAACACCTTTGTCTGTAAGCCATCAGAAAGTTCAGGTCTTAAGCAGGATCTGCCAGATTCTCCTCGCTTGGCACCCTGCAATAAATGCCCCACTTTCTCTGGCTGCAATCCTCATGCCAGTGTTTTAGTTTTGCTGGGTCAGGCAGGCAGACCCAAGTTCATTTGGGTAGCAGGACGAGCAAATGTAAGCAAACTGTTTTTTAACAAAGGGGGTAGGGAAGAAAATCAATGCAACTTCTATAGGACTGGACAGAATATCCCCCTCTATAAACAAGAATTATTTTTGCATTGCTATCAGTCATCCATACTTTACAGAGAATTGAGATCAGATAACCCAGAAATAGATCCTCTAGAACAGGGGTCCGGGGCCTGTTAGGAACTGGGCTGCATAGCAGGAGGTGAGTATTGGGTGAGTGAGCGAAGCCTCATTTGTATTTACAGCTTCTTGCATGACTGCCTGAAATCCGCCTCCTGTCAGATCAGCAGGGGCATTGGATTATGATAGGAGTGAGAACACCATTGTGGACTGCGCATGCCAGGGATCTAGGTTCCGCGCTCCTTATGAGAATCTGATGCCTGATGATCTGTCACTGTCTCCCATCACCCCCAGATGGGACTGTCTAGTTGAAGAAAAACAAGTTCAGGGCTCCCACTGATGCTACGTTACGGTGAGTTGTATAATTATTTCATTATAATTACAATGTAATGATAATAGAAATAAAGGGCACAATAAATATAATGAGCTTGAATGATCCTGAAACCATACTCTGCTGCTCCATGGAAAAATTGTCTTCCATGAAATCAGTCCCTGGTGCCACAAAACTAGTCCCCGATGCTGCCCTAGAGTTTATATACTGCACAGCTTTCTGACGAAACACAAACTTCCCTCTCTATGAGAGATGGCTGAGGCTGAGAAATTCGAAAGAAGATCAGGTCAGTAGACCTTTTTTTTTTTTTTTTCAGACAGAGTCTCACCCTGTCGCCCAGGCTAGAGTGCAGTGGTGAGATCTCAGCTCACTGCAACCTCCGCCTCCTGTGTTCAAGCGATTCTCCAGCCTCAGCCTCCCAAGTAGCTGGGACTACAGGTGTGTGCCACCACGCCTGGCTAATATTTTTGTATTTTTAGTAGAGACAGGGAGGGTTTCACCATATTGGCCAGGATGGTCTCGATCTCCTGACCTTGTGATCTGCCTGCCTCCCAAAGTGCTGGGATTACAGGTGTGAGGCACTGCTCACACCCTTTTTTTTTTTTTTTTTTTTTTTTTTTTTTTTTTTTGTGATGGTCTCACTCTGTTGCCCAGGCTGTGGAGTGGCATGATCATGGTTCACTACAGCCTCAAACTCCTGGCCTCAAATGAGCCTCCCACCATAGCCTCCCAATAGCTGGGACTATAGCCATGAGCCACCCTGCCTGGCCAGGTCAGTAGAACTTCTGAGAGAAAAGGGGCTTCAGGAGCAGTTTGTAGACCAAGAACAAGAGCCCTCATATTTCTGAGAGATACTAGAGCTTCCGCTGCTAGATTGTTACCTATAACCTGGGTTTCCTGCTGAATTTGGCAATGAACCTCTTTGATGTGATAGATCTCAGGGCTTGCGTCAGGGACAGCCAGGAAGGGAGGAGGCAGAAAGCAAGGCTGGATCCCAGAGACTCTGTGGGCAAGAAGCCTCTCAAAGCCACAAGGCAGGGCCCCCGTAGAGCGGGAGCAGCCTTTGATATTCTCCAGGCCAGGGAGGCCTTTGCATTCCAGAACTGAACCGGAAAAGACAAGGTTACCTCAAAGGAGTCCCAGGGATTCCCTAAAGAAGGACTCTGGGGAGTCTGTGAGGGAATTCCAGCTGCGTGGGGGCATCCTGGAGCCCTCACGAAAAAAGGTGTGGGGAGCTCTGCCCACGGTCTCTGCCCTGTCACTCCCAAAGCTGAGTGGGGAGAAGAACCCACTTCAATCGGGCGCGGTGGCTCACGCCTGTAGTCCCAGCACTTCGGGAGGCCGAGGCGGGTGGATCACGAGGTCAGGAGTTCAAGACCAGCCTGGCCAATATGGTGAAACCCTGTCTCTACTAAAAAAAATACAAAAATTAGCTGGGCGTGGAGGCGCGCGTCTGTAATCCCAACTACTCGGGAGGCTGAGGCAGGAGAATCGCTTGAATCCAGGAGGCGGAGTTTGCAGTGAGCCGAGATCGCACCACTGCATTCCAGCCCGGGGGACAGAGCGAGACTCCGTCTCAAAAAAAAAAAAAAAAAAAGTACACACTTCAGTACCCACTGAACTGAAGAGAGTTTCAAAAAGTTACAGCCTGGCTGGTGCTGCCAAACCCTGCCTCTACCTTCATCCAGACTCGTCCTGGGATGCTCAGTAGATATTATAAATTGCCAAAAGGTTGGAAACATTCTCACTTCTACCACCAGATGGCGGCCATCATCCCTTCATCGGCTAATTGTTAAACCAGACAAGAAGCCCTTATACCCGCATCTCACACCCATTAGGATGGCTACTAGACATACACACACACACACACACACACAGAGAGAGAGAGAGAGAGAGAGAAAGAGAAAGAGAAGAGAGAGAGAGAGAGAGAGAGACAAAGAATCTGCCTGTGCACTCTTGGTGGGCATGTAAGATGGCACAACTGCTATGGAAAACAGTATGGAAGTTCCTCAAAAATTAAGATTCCATGTGATCCAGCAGCAATTCCACTTCTGGGTCTGTACTCCAAAGAATTGAAAGCAGGAGCTCAAAGAGATATTTGTACATCCATGTTCATAGCAGTGTTATTCACAATAGCCAAAATGTGGAAGCAACCCAAGTATCCACCAATGAATGAATGGAGACACAAAATGTGGTTATAGAAATACAATGGAGGCCCGGCGCCGTGGCTCACACCTGTAATCCCAGCACTTTGGGAAGCCGAGGCAGGTGGATCACCTGAGGTCAGGAGTTCCAGACCAGCCTGGTCAACATGGTGAAACCTCGTCTCTACTAAAAATACAAAAATTAGCCTGGCTTGGTGGTGGGCGCCTGTAATTCCAGCTACTTGGGAGGCCGAGGCAGGAGAATCGCTTGAACCCAGGAGGCAGAGCTTGCGGTGAGCCGAGATCGCGCCACTGTACTCCAGCCTGGGTGACAGAGTGAGATTCCATCTCAATTAAAAAAAAAATACAGTGGAATATTATTCAGCCTTAATAAGAGAGGAAGTTCTGGTACATGCGACACCAGGAATGAATCTGGAGGATGCAATACTAAAGTGAAGCAAGCCAGACATAAAAAATAAACATTGTGCCTGAGCGCGGTGGCTCACGCCTGTAATCCCAGCACTCTGGGAGGCCGAAGCAGGCAGATCACTTGAGGTCAGGAGTTTGAGACCAGCCTGGTCAACATGGTGAAACCCCGTCTCTACTAAAAATACAAAAATTAGCTGGGCATGGTGGTGCATGCCTGTAATCCCAGCTACTCAGGAGTCTGAGGCAGGAGAATCACTTGAACCCGGGAGGCAGAAGTTGCAGTGAGCTGAGATCGTGCCACTACACTCCAACCTGGGTGACAGAGCGAGATTCTGTCTTTAAAAAAAAAAAATTGTATGATTCCACTTATATTGAGGTACCTAAAATTGGCAAATTCATACAAAGAGAAAGTAGAATGATGGTTGCCAAGTGCTGGCGGAAGGGGAAAAAAATTCGTTGGTAAAATTGGAATCATATTTCACACATCAAAACTAATTCCAGATTTTAGTTAAAATTTAAATGTAAAAAAATAAAACAAATATTCTTAAATATTCATGTCATGAATAGTAAATATAATTTGTCTTCTTTATGATTTTCTTTTTTCTTTTTCTTTCTTTCTTTTTTTTTTTTTGAGAGAGTTTCGCTCTTGTTGCCTCAGGCTGGAGTGCAATGGCGTGATCTCAGCTGACTGTAACCTCTGCCTCCCGGGTTCAAGTGATTCTCCTGCCTCAGCCTCCTGAGTAGCTGGGATTACAGGCATGCGCCACCGCACCCGGCTAATTTTGTATTTTTAGTAGAGATGGGGTTTCTCCATGTTGGTCAGGCTGGTCTCGAACTCCCGACCTCAGGTGATCCACCCACATCGGCCTCCTAAAGTGCTAAGTGCTAGGATTACAGGTATGATGAGCCATTGCACCTGGCCTTTTTTTTTTTTTTTTTTTTGAGACGGAATCTTGCTGTGTCGCTCAGGCTGGAGTACAGTGGTGCAATCTCTGCCCACTGCAACCTCTGCCTCCCAGGTTCAAGCAATTCTCCTGCCTCTGCCTCCCAAATAGCTTGGATTACAGGAGCCCACCACCATGTCCGACTAATTTTTGTATTTTTGGTAGAGATGGAGTTTTGCCATGTTGGTCAGGTGGTCTCGAATTCCTGGCCTCAAGTAATCTGCCTGCCTCAGCCTCCCAAAGTGCTGGGATTAGAGGTGTGAGCCACTGCACCTGGCCTATGATTTTCTTAATAACATTTTCTTTTCTCTATCTTACTTTACTGTAAGAATACAGTATATAATACATATAACATACAAAATGTGTTAATCGATTGTTAATGTTATTGGTAAGGCTTCTGGTCAACAGCAGGCTATTAGCAGTTAAGCCTACTATTGACCAGAAGCCTTACCAATAACATGTGGGATGTCAACTGCACCAGGGGTTGGCACCCCTAACCCCTGTGTTGTTAAAGGGTCAACTATTCTTATTTTCCAACCTAATGTTGCCCTCCTCAGAGAGGCTTTGATTTTATCTAAAATAACATCCCTCAGTGAAAAATTACCAAGTATTCAATAAATCTGAAAAATACTTTCATGATGAAGAGAAAAATCAATTGCAACAGACCCAGGAATAACAGAGATGATGAGATTAGTGGACAAGAGCATGTTATGTAGAGACATAGAAGATATATAGATACTGATAGACTATGTATGTATATATGAGTGTATCTATCATCTATCTCTTCTAGAGATGAAAAGTACACTGAATGGAATTTGCAGCAGATTACACACTGCAGACCACAGATTAATGAATTTGACACAGTAATAGAAATTATCCGGGCGGGCCGTGGTGGCTCACACCTGTAATCCCAGCACTTTGGGAGGCCGAGGAAGGCGGATCACCTGAGGTCAGGAGTTCGAGACCAGCCTGGCCAACATAGAGAAACCCAGTCTTTACTAAAAATACAAAATTAGCCGGGCGTGGTGGTGCATGCCTGTAATCCCAGTTACTCAGGAGGCTGAGGCAGGAGAATCACTTGAACCTGGGAGGTGGAGGTTGCGGTGAGCCGAGATCACGCCACTGCACTCCAGCCTGGGCAACAAGAGTGAAATTCCTTCTCAAAAAAAAAAAAAGAGAGAAAGAAAAAAGAAAAAGGAAAAGAAAGTAATCTGAAGTGAAATACAGAGAAAGACAACGGCTGAGAATAAATGACAGTGAGTTGGGGGATAACTTCCAGAAGCCTAATGTACGTGTAACTGGAGTTTCCAATAACCGAGACTCCATTTCCAAAAGGAGGAGGTACAGAAAAATATATTCAAAGAAATAAGGGAAAAATTTTTCCTAACTTGATGAGAATGATACACCCGTAGATAATACACCCACCCAGCAAGCTCAATGAACCCAAAGCACAAGAATCATGAAGAACACTAATCAAAGTGCATCTTTTTTTTTTTTTTTTTTTTTGAGACGGAGCCTCGCTCTGTCACCCAAGCTGGAGTGCGGTGGCGCGATCTCGGCTCACTGCAAGCTCCGCCTCCTGGGTTCACGCCATTCTCCTGCCTCAGCCTCCCGAGTAGCTGGGACTACATGTGCCCACCACAATGCCCGGCTAATTTTTTTGTATTTTTTTAGTAGAGACGGGGTTTCACCGTGTTAACCAGGATGGTCTCGATCTCCTGACCTCATGATCCGCCCGCCTCGGCCTCCCAAAGTGCTGGGATTACAGGCGTGAGCCACCACGCCCAGCCCAAGGTGCATCTTAATCGGGCTACTTACAAACAGCAATGAAGAGAAGATATAAAAGCAGCCAGAGAAAAAAACAAATATAAAAATGACAGCAATCTTCTTTTTGGGAGTTAATGTGATGCAGAAGATGCTAAAGCAACATTTAAAAAGTACTAAAAGGGCCGGATGCTGTGGTTCACACCTGTAATTCCAGCACTTTGGGAGGCCAAGTCCGGTGGACCATTTGAGGTCAGAGTTCGAGACCAGCCTGACCAACATGGTGAAATCCGTCTCTACTAAAAATACAAAAATTAGCTAGGTATGGTGGCACGTGCCTGAAATCCCAGCTACTGGGGAGGCTGAGGCAGGAGAATTGCTTGAACCTGGGAGGCGGAGGTTGCAGTGAGCTGAGATCATGCCACTGCACTCCAGCCTGGGTGACAGAGCAAGACTCTGTCAAAAAAAAATTAAGAAAGAAATAAAGAAAATCGAAATAAAGAAAATCAAAATAAATGAAAGTTCTATCATATTCATGGATCGTAAGACTCAATATTGGTAAGATTTCAATTCTCCACAAATTGATCTACAAAATCAACACAGTTCCAATCAAAACCTTGGTGGGCTTTATTTGGTAGAATGAGCTGATTCTAAAATTTATTTAGAAATGCAAAGTACCTAGAATAGCCAAAATAACTTTGAAGCAGAATAAGTTGGAGGACTTACTACTTGATTCAAGAATTCTCATAAAGCTACAGTAAAAAAAACAATGTGTTATTGTTGCAGGTAATACATAAATAGATCAGTGAAACAGAAAAGAAAGTCAAGCAATAGACCTGCACATATATAGTCAGTTGATTTTTTTTTTTTTTTGAGATGGAGTCTCGCTCTGTCACCCAGGCTGGAGTGCAATGGTGCGATCTCAGCTCACTGCAACCTCTGCCCCCTGGGTTCAAGCAATTCTCCTGCCTCAGCCTCCTGAGTAGCTAGGTTTACAGACGCATGCCACCACGCCCGGCTAATTTTTTGCATTTTCAGTAGAGACGGGGTTTCACCATGTTAGCCAGGATGGCCTCGATCTCCTGACCTTGTGATCCACTCGCCTCAGCCTCCCAAAGTGCTGGGATTACAGGCACGAGCCACCTCGCCTGGCCATGGGTGCGGTTTATTTCATGTCAATCATAACTCAATAAAGCTGTCAAAAAAAAAAAAAAGAAAGAAAGGTGAGCCTGGGGTTGGGAAGGGTGAGTGTCAGTCAGAACATGGAGAACTCAGAAGCCAGACGGAGGGGTGTAGACGATCCCCCGGTGATGGGCCAGCACCCGAGCATTTCAGAAAGGAGTGGGTTGTGGGAAGCCAACACTGTCAGCAGGATCTGGAATGGATTGGATGCCAAAGAAAGGAGTGTGGGCAGGAGCTCCTTGCAAGGTACCTACTATAGTGGTGGGGGTGGATTCTAGAAATAAAAGGGGGTCATTTGGAAATGAAGGCGAGGTTAGAAAAAGAAAAGGAGGGAGAAGCAACTGGATCCATGACAATTTAGGGCCCGTCCCCCAGCTCCCAAAGCAGTCATTTGATAAACCAAATCGAGGGCAGAGAAGGCTCTTGGAAGCTTGAAAAAAAATTCCTGCTATGTCTGCTTCTTTCTGGTTTCTACCCTGTGTACAGGGTCCTGTGACCACAGCTCTTTCTGCTGACCGCAGCTGGGTATTCCTGCCTATGGAAAAAAACCACTCACTCGGCCCCGCTCACTCAGCAAAGGGGCCCGTGCTCCTGCTCCTGCACCCAACTGGCCTTCAGGACTGCAAGAGGCCCCAAGGGGCCAGCTCTTCCTGCTGCTCTCAGGGGCACCACCGTTACCCTGCCCAAGCCAAGAACTGTTTTCTCTCTCAAGTCAAGTTCCTCCTTTGGTCTGCCTTCTATCTCTCTAGGTGTAATGTAAGCCATGAATATTCATCCTGCCAAAGAGCCTGGAGTCAGTACCTGACTTTTCTGCTCACTTCCTCTCTACCTTGGTCCTACCTCAGTTTACTCCCAAAATGCTGCACCTACCACTATGCCCTGATTAACAGATGACCCCATCAGGTGACAGGAATCTAAATATAACTGTGGCTGGGTGGCTGACTTCCTGTGTGTGCTCAAGGCAAGAGACTAGGAATTGTGCCTTCACCAAGCCTGTAGATCCAGATCCTTGCTGCCTGAGACAGCCCTCAGGGTACAAGCTTGCAATCTGATGACAGAGAGAAGGGGAAGGGAGAAGAGGGGTGTGTGGTAGGAGACAGCTTGGTCCAGAGAAAGATGGGTGCCAAAACCAAGGCCAGAGGCAAAGTTTAGAGCCTTGAAAAATGACTAACATCAGTAAGGGATGGGTTCCTGTAAACTTTATTCTACCTAATGAGGAATCTGCGAGCCTTTGATTGACATCATAATAGTAAACTTGTGCCTGAATACCATGCCCAAGCCAACTGTTTCATTCTTTCTTCCATTTATTTATTCATCCAGCAAATATTCATTGAAACCCTGGTGGCTCCAGACTGACCAACATGGTGAAACCCCGTCTCTACTGAAAATACAAAAATTAGCTGGGTGTGGTGGCGCATGCCTGTAATCCCAGCTACTCAGGAGGCTGAGGCAGGGGAATCGCTTGAACCGGGGAGGTGGAGGTTGCAGTGAGCTGAGATTGTGCCACTGCACCCCAGCCTGGGGGACAGAGCCAGACTCTGTCTCAAAAAAAAAAAAAAAGAAACTCTGGTGGCAGACCTACATCCTGCCTTCAAGGAGTGGGCCCCAAAAAATAAAACTAAAAATTACGAACAATATGAAAAGGGCTCCAAAGGGGTCTTCAGCCCAGATCTGGCAGAGGTTGGGTCAGGGAAGGTTTGTTAGAAAAGATTCCATTCACACTCAAGTCCCAAAGGGTTTGTAGGAATAAGCTGAGAGAGGTGTGCCAGGGTCGGACAGATGGGCTGGGAAGACTCTGAGGGAGCAGTAAGCAGTCTGGATATTGGGCACTTAGGGTGAAATGGCATTGGGGGCCGGGATGAGGTGAGGCAAGGCTGGGCATACTGGCAAGTTCCTAATCTTGAATGCCTTCATTCACTCACTAACTCACCGAACAAATATTGATTGATTGATTGATTGATTGAGACAAAGTCTCACCCTGTTACCCAGGCTGGAGTGCAATGGCGTGATCTCAGCTCACTGCAGCCCCCGCCTCCTGGGATCAAATGATTCTCCTGCCTCAGCCTTCTGAGTAGCTGGGATTACAGGTGCCTGCCACCACGCCTAGCTAATTTTTGCATTTTTAGTAGAGATGGGGTTTCACCATGTTGACCAGGTTGGTCTCGAACTCTTGACCTCACGTGATCTGCCCACCTCGGCCTCCCAAAGTGCTGGGATTACAGGTGTGAGCCACCGCTCCCGGCCTGAACAAATATTTATTAAGGACCTACTCTGGGTCACACATTGTGCTGGGATCAAGAATAGTTTTGGCACTTTGGGAGGCCAAGGCAGGAGGATTGCTTGAGCCTAGGATTTTGAGACCTTGTCTCTATTTTTTTTTTAATTAGCTGAGTGTGGTGGCATGCACCTGTAGTCCCAGCTGCTCAGGAGGCTAAGGTGGGAGGATCACTTGAGCCCAGGAGTTGGAGGCTGCAGTGAACTATGATCAAGTTGCTGCACTCCAGCCTGGGCAACAGAGTGAGACCCTATCTCAAAAAATAAAAAATGTTTTAAAAAATAGTCCTGGATTCATTAAGAAATTTGCAGGCATTGGAATGATCTCCTGAGTTAGGTGATTTTACCACTAACAACAAAACATTTTTGAGCACACGCTGCCAACTATTCCAATTATTTGTTTATAATTACTCATACGACTATTATTATTTTTCTCAGGACAGACTATATACTGAAGGTGAAAGGCATTGTTAGTGATAAGGGATGTACAAATGTATTGCAAACACTCTTTTTGATAATTTCTCTCACTCCCTCTTGCTCATTTGCCAGATTTTTGGCAGATCTGATGAGATCATGTTTTTACCTATAATGTGGCTAACGAAGGACTTCTATTATGAAGAGAAGAAGCATCAGGTCTGCTATTTCCTTTTTTGTGGCTTGTGCTGGCTTTATTAGTTTATATTCAATCTGTCTATCTTTGCAAGCCCCATGTCCAGTTTTTGAGGGTTGGGTTAGTGGTAACGATAATATAATCAGAAAAGCTCAGCCGGGCGCAGTGGCTCACACCTGTAATCCCAGCACTTTGGGAGGCTGAGGCAGGCAGATCACGAGGTCAGGAGATCAAGAGCAGCCTGGCTAACATGGTGAAATCCCATCTCTACTAAAAATACAAAAAAATTAGCCGGGCATGGTGGCATGAGCCTGTAGTCCCAGCTACTCGGGAGGCTGAGGCAGGAGAATCGCTTGAACCCAGGAGGCAGAGGTTGCAGTGAGCCAAGATCGTGCCACTGCACTCCAGCCTGGGTGACAAAGCGAGATTCTGTCTCAAAACAAAACAAAACAAAACGAAAAAAAAAAAAAAAAGGCCAGGTGCAGTGGCTCATGCCTGTAATCCCAGCACTTTGGGAGGCCGAGGCAGGCGGATCACAACGTCGGGAGATCAAGACCATCCTGGCTAACACAGTGAAACCCCGTCTCCACTAAAAATACAGAAATTTAGCCGGGCGTGGTAGCGGGCGCCTGTAGTCCCAGCTACTTGGGAGGCTGAGGCAGGAGAATGGCGTGAACCTGGGAGGCGGAGCTTGCGGTGAGCCGAGATCGCACCACTGCACTCCAGCCTGGGCAACAGAGCAAGACTCTGTCTCAAAGAAGAAAAAAAGCTGTTTAGCTGCATCCATTTAAGCTGCAATGCAACACAGTATGGTAAAGGCAATGACCCCACTTGCTGTTGTGTCCCCTACCTGCAGGCAGGCTTCCCCTCTTCCATCAGACACTGTGCACCTGGCCCTACCCGAGGTGATCTGAGCTACACACCAGGATGTCAGTGCCAAACTGCAAAATATATATCAGCCCGATTTGATGTATGTCAGTCTTGCTACATTTAATACAAAATCACACGCTAGTGGGTCATTTCGTGGATTTCTGGAAATAGAACCCAGGCCCTTGGCAGCTGCTATCTCTTATGTCAGAGGTGGAAAAAGCTCTGATGTAGCCTATAGCAGGTATTGAACATGAGATCCTTGATTTTCCTGCCTAATGGCCTCCAATGGCCTCTCATTGCATCAGAAAAAAATCCACATCCAGGCCAGGCGCGGTGGCTCACGCCTGTAATCCCAGCACTTTGGGAGGCCGAGGCGGGTGGATGACCTGAGATCAAGACCAGCCCAGCTAACATAGTGAAACCCTGTCTCTACTAAAAATACAAAAATTAGCCAGGCATGGTGGCACGGGCCTGTAATCCCAGCTACTTGAAAGGCTGAGGCAGGAGAATCGCTTGAACCTGGCAGGCAGAGGTTGCAGTGAGCTGAGTTTGAGCCACTGCACTCCAGCCTGGGCAACAGAGCGAGACTCCATTTCAAAAAAAAAAAAAAAAAACTTCTGTTTTTTTCAAAGCTCAATTAACAACTTTTTCTTAACTAATTTATTACTGAATTTAATGAAGGTCCATCCTCATTGGCTAAGTGATTTGCATTATGTAAACATAGAAAAATTTCATTACTGCCTTGTAGGAACTTAAATTAGAAGAAAAACCAAACTCACAGAATGCAGCGGCGGCAGCAGTAGCAGAATAATAGTATTCTGAAAAAGGGTTGGACTTACTGCCACAAAATTCTGATTATAGACTTGGCAGTCACTCATTCTCTGCGTCCAGCCTTCAGCTTTTGGAGGCTGCTTTCTTCATTTGCAAAATGGAGACTAGAAAACAACAAAACAAGACAAAACAAACAACAAACAAAAAACCACTAATGCATGAGGTCTGAAAAACAAAGGTGGGATTGCTGAGAGTGAAGGGAAGAATAATGAGCCAAGGTAAATAAAATGAGAGGTTAGGCTAATGTATACACCTCAGATTCCACCCGCTTTACTCTCTTCCATAGTCCACAACTATATGCTGGAGAATGAATTGACACTGATCACTGAAGGAAAAGCGTAGTTGCATGACGGAAAGGATGACCACAATCATCTCACCTCTCCAATTCAATAACGATCTTAAGGTGCTATCATATGCAATGAGACAAGAAAAACAAACAAGAGGTCCATTTGCTAGAAATGTAGACTCAAAATTATAAGACTCAAAACTTTAATCCAACCCTGGTTTAAAACAACAACAGCAACTATTGGTCACAATAATATTTGATAAGAAGCCTGGAGAGGAAACCTATTTTTGCCAAAATTATTTGAGAATGCAAGTGTTGTTCTGGTTGTTATCATGTTGGCAAGAGAAGGAAGAAAATGTTAGGCCAGGCACAGTGGCTCACGCCTATAATTTCAGCACTTTGGGAGGCTGAGATGGACGGATCACTTGAGCCCAGGAGTTCAAGACCAGCCTGGGCAACATGGTGAAATGCTGCCTCTATGTAAAATTTAAAAAGTAAGCTGGACATGGTGGCATGCACCTGTTATTCAGTAGGCTGAGGTGGAAGGATAGATTGAGCCTGAAGGCTGCAGTAAGCCATAATTGTGCCACTGTACTCCAGCCTGAGTGACAGAACAAGACCCTGTCTAAAAAAAGAAAGAAAAAGAAAAGGTTAGCACTGTTGGGGATTAGCCAGGTGTCACCAAAGATCTGATTTATAATTAAACTATACTTGCTTGCTTCTTTGTCACTGCGATGACAGTTCCTCTCAGCATGTTTACTCGTCTTCAGGGAGAAGGAAGTAAAGAGGCTCCAAGAGATATTAATCTGTTAGAGTCCAAGAGGTTTTTTGTTTTTGTTTAATCTCACAGGAATGCAAGCTTTAACCACGAGTTTGGGAATCATAAAACTTGTGGCCGGGCGCGGTGGCTCACGTCTGTAATCCCAGCACTTTGGGAGGCTGAGGTGGGTGGATCACAAGGTCAGGAGATCGAGACCATCCTGGCTAACACGGCGAAACCCCGTCTCTACTAAAAATACAAAAAATTAGCCAGGCGCGGTGGTGGGCGCCTGTAGTCCCAGCTACTCGGGAGGCTGAGGCAGGAGAATGGCATGAACGCAGGAGGCAGAGCTTGCAGTGAGCCGAGATCGCGCCACTGCACTCCAGCCTGGGCGACAGAGTGAGACTCCGTCTCAAAAAAAAAAAAAACAAACAAAAAACTTGTAAAATATATTTATTATGGCAAATTGTATTTGCTCATTTAGGCCCCAAAATATGCTTGTAAAAAATTGAACTTGCCCACTCAACTTGTAAATGAATTCAGTGGTTTTATGATAATTCATGTGTCATTTTATAAGGAGGTATTCACATTGCATAGACATTGATGGGCTCAGTGAATGGCTGGGATAGCTGGAGAACCAGGTTTGAGGTTATGTAGTAAAAACCACAACCAAAATTATGATGTAGAACTGGTCTGGTGAGGATATCTCTGCTGCATTCCAGAGGGGTAGGTGCTGGAATGATGCTGCTGATGGCACTGGGAACTGCAGGCCACCACTGGCACTGTTGCCACTACTGCCACCATCTCTACCGCTGCCAGTGGAGGTGTTCCACTGCTCCTGTTTATTCCTGAGCTCCAAATGCAAAATTTAAGATAGTGCATCTGATTACATACACCTAGGTCATGTGCTCAGTCCTAGCTGCAAAGAAGGTTGGGAAAGTAGGTATCTGGCAGTTTCAGCATTGATGTTGGGAGGACAGTTATGCCATTCACCAGGCCTGTTAGGATGGGGAAAGGGGTTCCAATGGGCAGATCACGAGGTCAGGAGTTCCAGACCAGCCTGACCAACATGGTGAAACCCCATCTCTACTAAAAATACAAAAATTAGCCAGGCATGGTGGTACACACCTGTAATCCCAGCTACTCAAGAGGCTGAGGCAGGATAATTGCTCGAACCCGGGAGGCGGACGTCGCAGTGAGCCGAGATCATGCCACTGCACCCCAGCCTGGGTGACAGAGTGAGACTCTGTCTCAAAAAAAAAAAAAGAAAAGAAAAAGACAGGGGTTCTGAGTGTGAGCAGCCAGTAAGAGTAATACAAGAGTAATACGAGTCTAATATATCTGGTTAAGCCCAACTATCCTTACTCTGCACCTGTGCCCAAACAAGTGAATGTCGTAAGCAAAATCACTTCTCCATGCAGATTAAATCATTTTAAATTTATGACCTCAAGTCTCAAGTGAACTGCAACACAGCCAGACTATTCTATTTCTATCCACTTTCTAATAAACTAATTTTTCTACTTTCTGAGGCACTATTTCATATTACTCCCCCCACAAATCTCCAACATTTCCTCCTCAATTCAATGGTGTTTTTGTTAGTGATCCCTAGAGAAAACAGATGCAATCAGAGGAGGTCTATTGATCTTCTCTTTCCACAAATGCAACCTTTCCACTAGTGCTCTGAATCCAATCCCCTCTCACTGACTCAGAATTTGCTCCTGTAATCTTCCCTCTTTTTATTTTTGATAGACGTCTCGCTCTGTCACCCAGGCTGGATTGCAATGGCACAATCTCGGCTTACTGCAACCTCTGTCTCCTGGGTTCAAGCGATTCTCGCACCTCAGCCTCCTGAGTACCTGGGATTACAGGTGTGTGCCACCATGCCCGGCTAATTTTTGTATTTTTAGTAGAGACAGGATTTCGCTATGTTGGCCAGGCTGGTCTCGAACTCCTGACCTCGTGATCTGCCCATCTCTGCTTCCCAAAGTGCTGGGATTACAGGCGTGAGCCACTGCGTCCGGCCAATCTTCCCTCTTTCATACTCCAGTGGATCTTTCCCATTGGTATAGAAACATATCTTAGCTGTGTGCAGTAGCTCATGCTTGTAATCTCAGTACTTTGAGAGGCCTAGTCAGGAGGATCGCTTAAGCCCAGGAGTTCGAGACCAGCCTGGCCAATGTGGTGAAACCCTGTCTCTACAAAAACTACAAATATTAGCCAGTGTAGTGGTGCGTGTCTATAGTCCCAGCTACTTGGGGGGCTGAAGTGGGAGGATCATTTGAGTCCAGGAGTGCCACTGCACTCTGGGCAACAGAGTGAGATCCTGTCTCAAAAAACAAAAAAACAAACAACAACAAAAAGATGTTTTAATATCACTCATCTCCAAAGACATAAAACAAAAACCTGCTTCAAGCCCATGTCCTCTTTCAACTCTCGACTCTGTTCTCTTTCCAAATCAACCTTGTCATTACAGTGGTCTATTCTGTTCTCATTCTTCCTCATCTGCAACTTTTTCTCAAGCCACTTCAATTGGGCTTTTGTTCTCATTATTTAATCAAGGTCTTTAATGACCTGTACATCTTGCCAAAACCAATGTTTGCTTGTTTAATTTTTCTGTTGGCATCTTATTGAACTTCTTAGCAGCATTCGAAGCAGTTGAAAACTTTGTCCTTCATGAAATACATTCTTTTTGAGCTTCCATGGCTTCAAGCCTCCCTGGTTTTTCTCCTTGTCAATCTACTTGGCTTCCCAGGACTCTGTCCTTAGCAGCCTTCTCTCCTCTATCTACATTCACTCCCTAAGTGATTTCCAGCCCCTTTGCTTAATTTACTTTTTCCATGAATTTTATCACATTTCACCTTTATCATATTTCTCTTATTTTGAAAAATCTCAAACTTAACAAAAAGTAGGAAAAATAATAACTATGAACACCCATATACTCTTCCATAAAATTCATAAATTGCTAATTTGCCAACATTTGTGCACATCCTCTTTCTTCCTTTTTTCCTCACCTCTCCCCATTGTCCCACAGAGTTTACTTTTTACTGGAACATTTGAAATCAAGTTAGTTTTTTTTTTTTTTTTTTTTTTTGAGACGGAGTCTCACTCTGTCAACCAGGCTAGAGTGCAGTGGTGCGATCTCGGCTCACTGCAAGCTCCGCCTCCTGGGTTCACGCCATTCTCCTGCCTCAGCCTCCCGAGTAGCTGGGACTACAGGTGCCTGCCACCACGCCCGGCTCATATTTTTGGTATTTTTAGTAGAGATGGGGTTTCACTGCGTTAGCCAGGATGGTCCCGATCTCCTGACCTCGTGATCTGCCCACCTCGGCCTCCAAAAGTGCTGGGATTACAGGCATGAGCCACCGCCCCCGGCCAGTTTGTTTGTTTGTTTTTTTTTCTGAGACAGAGTCTCACCCACTTCAGCCTCCCAAAGTGCTGGGATTACAGGTGCGAGCCACCATGTCCGGCCTGAAGATACTTAGTTGTCACAGCTGGAAAGGTGTTACTGGCATCCAGTGGGCAGGAGCCAGGTATACTGCTAAACATCTTACAAAGCACAGGACAGTTCCCAAAACAAAGAATGACTCAGCCCAAAATGTCAGTAGTGCTGAGGTTGAGAAAACCTAGTCCAGATTTATTTGATTGTTTGTTCATGATTAGGTTCAGATTCAACGTTTTTGGTTGAGAAAACTACCCGAATGATATTACGGCCTGTAATCCCAGCACTCTGAAAGGCCCAGGTGGGTGGATCACTTGAGCTCAGGAGTTTGAGACCAGCTTGGCGAACATGGTGAAACACTGTCTCTACTAAAAATACAAAAATTAGCCGGGCGTGGTGGCACGTGTATGTCATTCCAGTTAGGAGGTTGAGGCACGAGAATCATTTGAACCCGGGAGGTGGAGGTTGCAGTGAGCCGAGATTGTGCCACTGCACTCCAACATGGGTGACAGAGAGAGATACTGTCTTTAAAAAAAAAAAAAAAAAAAAAAAAAGCAATAGCCGAGGCCAGGCGAGGTGGCTCACACCTGTAATCCCAGCACTTCGGGAGGCCTAGGTGGGTGGATCACCTGAGGTCGGGAGTTCGAGACCAGCCTGACCAACATGGAGAAACTCCGTCTCTACTAAAAATACACAATTAGCCGGGAGTGGTGGTGGCGCAGGTCTGTAATCCCAGCTACTCGGGAGGCTGAGGCAGGAGAATCACTTCCAGCTACTCAGAAGCCTGAGGCAGGAGGTTACGGTAAGCTGAGATTGCACCACTGCACTCCAGTCTGGGTGACAGAACGAGATTCTATCGCGTTGATAATGGAGTGCCACTGCACTCCAGCCTGGGCAACAAGAGCGAAACTCCGTCTCAAAAAAAAAAAAAAAATCCCAGCTACTCGGAAGGCTGAGGCAGGAGAATCACTTGAACCCGGGAGGCGGCTGTGTCAGTAAGCCGAAATCTCACCACTGCATTCCAGCCTGGGTGACAGAGTGAGACTCCGTCTCAAAAAAAAAAAAAAAAAGAAGAAAAAAAAAGCAACAGCCTAGCAGCCACTGGAGGGGACAGTGAGAGGTGAGAGATTGGTGCCTTCTCGGGTCTTTCCTGGGCATGTGCACAGCCCTGCCCACGCATGTATCCTTCCAGTCTCAAGAATAAGTCAGAGATCATCAAACTCCTAATGCAGAGAACTGTCACTATTTGATCTATCTGTCAGCTCCCTGAAAATCTCTACTCCTAGGGCTTGTCTTTATTTGAACAGACTCAGAACAGGCTCCATGCAAACGATCCTATCCTATGGCATTTGTTGAAAAAAAAAAAAAAAAAAAAAAAAAAACAGCTGCAATTGCTTAACATTGCAGCTACCCAAGGTGGTAATGCCAGCTGGGGCTAACAAGAAGATGATCAAAGAGTTTAAAAGGAAAAGCTGGGGAATGAGATGTCCATAGAGGGCTTTGATAATCTCTGACTTATTCTTAGGACTCTAGAAGGACACATGTACACACAGGGCTGTGCACATGCCCAAGAAAGCCCTGAGAAGGCCCCAAAATCTCATCTCTGATCGGCCTTGAGGCTATGCACAAACAGGAAGTGAGGGATAGGAGAGAGTCATAAACTGTCTCCTGGAGCATTGCAGGTGTGATCCAACATACACACTGAGCCCCTTGGCAAAAGCTGTGAAGCTTATTGGTTCAAGGCAATTAAGAATATCTGGCCGGGCAAAGTAGCTCACGCCAGTAATCCCAGCACTTTGGGAGGCCGAGGAGGGCGGATCGCCTAAGGTCAGGAGTTCGAGACCGGCCTGACCAACATGGAGAAACCCTGTCTGTACAAAAAATACAAAAAAATTAGCCGGGGGTGGTGGCGCATGCCTGTAATCTCAGCTACTCGGGAGGCTGCGGCAGGAGAATAGCTTGAACCTGGGAGGCGGAGGTTGCAGTGAGCCAAGATCGCGCCACTGCACACCAGCCTGGGCGACAGAGCGAGACTCTGTCTAAAAAAAAAACAAAAAACAAAAATCCATTGTATTTTCTAGCCTGGGCAGCATGGTGAAACCCCATCTCTACAAAAAATACAAAAAGTAGCCTGATGTGGTGGCACATGCCTATAGTCCCAGCTACACAGATGGCTGAGATAGGAGGGTTGCTTGAGCCTAAGAGGTCAAGGCTGCAGTAAGCCGAGGTCACACTGCTGCACTCCAGCCTGGGCAACAGAGTGAGACTCTGTCTTTAAAGAATTTTGTTTCAGCCGGGCGCAGTGGCTCATGCCTGTAATCCCAGCACTTTGGGAGGCCGAGGTGGGCAGATCACAAGGTCAGGAGATCGAGCCCATCCTGGCTAACATGGTGAAACCCCATCTCTACTAAAAATACAAAAAAATTGCCAGGTGTGGTGGGGGGCGCCTGTAGTCCCAGCTACTCGGGAGGCTGAGGCAGGAGAATGGCGTGAACCTGGGAGGCGGAGCTTGCAGTGGGCCGAGATTGCGCCACTGCACTCCAGCCTGGGCAGCAGAGCAAGACTCCATCTCAAAAAAAAAAAAAAATCTAAAAATATAATTCAGAAATCAATTTTGTTTAAAAGGGCTGAAAACAATGAAATACTTAGGGATAAATTTAACAAAAGAAGTACCAAATCTATACTCTAAAAACAATAAAATATTGGCCAGGTGTAGTGGCTCACGCCTGTAATCCCAGCACTTTGGGAGGCCAAGGTGGGCAGATCACCTGAGGTCAGGAGTTTGAGACCAGCCTGGCTAACATGGTGAAACCCTGTTTCTACTAAAAATACAAAAATTAGCTGGGCATGGTGGCAGGCACCTGTAATCCCAGCTACTCAGGAGGCTGAGGCAGGAGAATCGCTTGAACCCGGGAGGCAGAGGTTGCAGTGAACTGAGATTGCGCCATTGCACTCCAGCTTTGGCAACAAGAGCGAAACTCTGTCTCAAAAAAAAAAACCAAACAAAAAAACTGCCGGGCACGGTAGCTCATGCCTGTAATCCCAGCACTTTGGGAGGCTGAAGTGGGCGGATCAGGAGGTCAGGAGATCAAGACCATCCTGGCCAACATGGCGAAACCCCATCTCTACTAAAAATACAAAAATTAGCTCGGCGTGGTGGCGCGTGCCTGTAATCCCAGCTACTCAGGAGGCTGAGGCAGGAAAATCACCTGAACTTGGGAGGCGGAGGTTGCAGTGAGCCAAGATCACGCCACTGCACTCCAGCCTGGCGACAGAGTGAGACTCCATCTCAAAAAAACAAACAAAAAAAGAGAAAACGTATAAAATATTGTTCAAAGAAATTTAAGACCAAAAAAATGCAAAGACACGCCATATTCATAAATTAGAAGACAATATTGTTTAATGAACAACACTCTTCAGAATGACAGATTCAACCCCAACGTTTTTCGAAGTCCTAGCTGACTTCATTGACAAGTTGATCTTTTTTTTTTTTGAGACAGTTTCCCTCCTGTTGCCCAGGCTGGAGTGCAATGGCGCAATCGTGGCTCGCCGCAACCTCTGCCTCCTGGGTTCAAGCGACTCTCCTGCCACAGCCTCCTGAGTAGTTGGGATTACAGGCATGCGCCAGCAAGCCCAGCTAATTTTTGTATTTTTAGTAGAGACGGGGTTTCTTCATGTTGGTCAGGCTGGTCTTGAACTCCCAACCTCAGGTGATCCGCCCATCTCCACTTCCCAAAGGCAGCCTGATCTTAAGATTCATATGTAAATTCAGTGAACCCAGAAGAGCCAAAACAATCTTTCTTTTTTTTTTTTTTTAAGACTCCCTCTGTCGGCCAGGTACGGTGGCTCACGCCTGTAATCCCAGCACTTTGGGAGGCTGAGGTGGGCAGATCACGAGGTCAGGAGATCGAGACCATCCTGGCTAATACGGTGAAACCCTGTCTCTACTAAAAGTACAAAAAAAATTAGCCAGGCGTGGTGGCGGGCTCCTGTAGTCCCAGCTACTTGGGAGGCTGAGGCAGGAGAATGGCGTGAACCCGGGAGGCGGAGCTTGCAGTGAGCTGAGATCGCGCCACTGCACTCCAGCCTGGGCGACTCCGTCTCAAAAAAAAAAAAAAAAGACTCCCTCTGTCACCCAGGCTGGAGGGCAGTGGCATGATCTCAGCTCACTGCAACCTCCACCTCCCAGGTTGAAGTCATTCTCCTGCCTCAGCCTCCCGAGTAGCTGAGATTACAGGTGCCCACCACCATGCCCAGCAAATTTTTGTATTTTTAGTAGAGATGGGGCTTCACCATGTTGTCCTGGCTGGTCTAGAACTCCTGACATCAAGTGATCTGTCTGCTGTGGCCTCCCAAAGTGCTAGGATTATAGGCATGAGCCACGGCACCTGGCCTCGGCCAACAATCTTAACAAAGAAGAATAAAGTTGAAGGATTAACTCTTCTTAATTTTAAAATTTACTACAAAGCTACTGTTATCAAAACAGCGTGGTACTCACACAAGACAGACATAAAGATCAATGGAATAGAATCGAGGTCCAGAAATAAACCTATACATATTGTCAATTGGTTTTCAACAAGGGTGGTCAATACAATTCATTGCAGGAAAGAATAGCTTCTTCAACAAATGGTGCTGGGCCAAATAGATACCTATATGCAAAGGAGTGAAGTTGCACTCCTTCACGATAAAAGACAAAAATTAACTCAGAAGGAATCAAATGCCCAAATGTAAAAGCTAAAAGTATTAAACTCTTAGAAGAAAACATAGGCATAATCTTGGATTGGTTGATGTTTTCTTAGATATGACATCAAAACTGTAAGCAATGAAGGGAAAATAGATAAATTGGAGTTTGTCAAAATCAAAAGCTTTGGCCGGGTGTGGTGGCTCACACCTATAATCCCAGCACTTTAGGAGGCCAAGGTGGGTGGATCACCTGAGGTTGGGAGTTTGAGACCAGATTGACCAACATGGAGAAACCCCATCCCTACTAAAAATACAAAATTAGCCGGGTGTGGTGGCACATGCCTGTAATCCCAGCTACTCGGGAGGCTGAGGCAGGAGAATAGCTTGAACCTGGGAGGCAGAGACTGCAGTGAGCTGAGATCATGCCATTGCACTCCAGCCTGGCCAACAGAGCGAAAGTCCATCTCAAAAAATAATAATAATAAAATAAAAATAAAAGCTGTCTTTCTTCAAAGCACATCAAGATAGTGAAGTGACAATCTACAGAATGGCAGAAAATATCTGCAAGTCATATATCTGATAAGGGACTTGAATCCGAAATACAAAAAGAACTCCTACAACTCAACAATGAAAAGAAAAACAACCCAATTTAAACATGGGCAAAGGATTTGAATAGACATTTATCCAGAAAAGATATATATATATGAACAATAAGCACATGAAGAGATAGTCTACATCATTGGCCATCAGGCAAATGCAACTCAAAACCATAAGTTACCACTTGACATTCACTAGGATAGCTAAAATTAAAAAAGTAGACAATAGGCCAGGTGCGGTGGCTCACGCCTGTAATCCCTGCACTTTGGGAGGCCGAGGCAGGTGGATCACCTGTGGTCAGGAGTTCGAGACCAGCCTGGCCAACATGGCCAAACCACGTCTGTACTAAAAATACAAAAATTAGCCAGGCATGGTGTCAGGTGCCTGTAATTCCAGCTACTCAGGAGGCTGAGGAAGGAGAATTGCTTGAATTCGGGAGGCAGAAGTTGTGCAGTGGGCCAAGGTTGTGCCATTGCACTCCAGCCTGGGTGACAAGAGCAAAACTCCATCAAAAAAAAAAAAAGTAGACAATAAATAAGTGTTGGCAAAGATGTAGAGAATTTGGAGCCCTCAAACATTGCTGGTAGAATCATCAAATGGTGCAGCTACTTTGAAAAACAGTTTAGCAGTTCTCCAAAATGCTAAACATAGAGTCACCATATGACCCAGCAATTCTACTCCTGGTTATATAGCTGAGCAAAATGAAAACATATGTCCACATAAAAATTGCACACAAATGTTCACAGCAGTGTTATATGAAAATAACTCAAATGTTCCTCAACCGATGAATGAATAACGAAATGTGGGATAGCCACACAAAAAAACATTATTTGGTCACAAAGGGAAACAAATTACTGATAGGTGCTATGAGACAATGAACCTTGAAAACATGCTTGGTGAAAGAAGCCAGATGCAAATGCCAGCATATTGTGTGATTCCATTCATATAAAATGTCCAGAATAGGAAAATCCATCTACATGGAAAACAGATTAGTAGCTCGTTGCCAGTGTCTGTCAGAAAAGGAGACTAGGCAGTGACTTTAATTGGTACAGGGTTTCTTTGGTGATGTTTAAACTGTTCTAAAATTGTGGTGATGATTGCATATGTTTGTGAATATACTACTTAAGTGCGTGCTTTCAAGGGGTAGATTTTAAAATTTGAGTTATATCTCAATAAAGCCATTATTAAAAATTTAGGAAATACAGAATATATAGTCTTATTTCCTCCTCTTTCTCTCTCTCTCTCTCTTTTTTTTTTTTTTTTTTTTTGAGATGGAGTTTTGCTCTTGTCACCCAGGCTGGAGTGCAATGGCGTGACCTGGGCTCACCGCAACCTCCGCCTCCCGGGTTCAAGCGATTCTCCTGCCTCAGCCTCCTGAGTAGCTGGTATTATAGTTGAGCACCACCACGCCTGGCTAATTTTTGTACTTTAACTAGAGATGGGGTTTCACCATGTCTGCCAGGCTGGTCTTGAACTCCTGATCTCAGGTGATCCACCCCCTTTGGCTTCCCAAAGTGTTGGGATTACAGGCATGAGCCACCGCGCCTGGCCTTTCCCACTTTTCTTAACAAAATGTGGCATACTCTATATACATTTTTGAACTATGATTTTTTTTTTCACTTAAAAATATATCATGATGGCCGGGTGTGCTGGCTCACACCTGTAATCTTAGCACTTTGGGCGCCTGTAGTCCCAGATACTTAAGAAGTTGAGGCAGGAAGAATTGCCTGAACCTGCAAGGCGGAGGTTGCAGTGAGCCGAGATGGTGCCACTGCACTCCAGCCTGGGCAACAGAGCGAGACTCTGTCTCAGGAAAAAAAAAAAAAAAAGAGAGAGGCAGAGGCAGGAGAATCGCTTGAACCTGGGAGGTGGAGGTTGCAGTGAGCCGAGATTATACCATTGTACTCCAGCCTGGGTGACAAGAGCAAAACTCTATCTCAAAAAAAAAAAGTATATAATGACATTCACTTCATAATAATACATGGAACTTCTGTTCATTCTCGTTTATGCCACATAGTACTCTACTGTGTAGCTCTACCATGTATAATTCAATGAGTTTCCTGTGTACGTGGCATATGGGCTGTTCATAACATTTTGCTAAAATGTCACAATTAATAACCTTGTGCACTTGTTCTTTCATTTTTTACAGATGTATCTTCAAGGTAACTTCCTATAAAAGAGATTATTGTGTCAAAGGATAGATACATGTGAATGTATGATTGTTAAACATTGCCAAATTTTCTCTCTCTAGTATTTGTTCCAGTTTGTACTTCCAACAGCAATGTAATAAGAGTTATTATTTTCCTTCCAGCTTCATTAATATAGTAGGTTGCCACCTTTTGAATTTTTGTCAGTCAGTGAGTAAGAAACAGTATCTCAGGCTGGGTGTGGTGGCTCCCACCTGTAATCCCAGCACTTTGGGAGGCCGAGGCAAACGGATCACCTGAGATCGGGAGTTTGAGACCAGCCTGACCAACATGGAGAAACCCCGTCTCTACTAAAAATACAAAATTAGCTGGGCGTGGTGGCGCATGCCTGTAATCCCAGCTACTCAGGAGGCTGAGGCAGGAGAATTGCTTGAACCCGGGAGGTGGAGGTTGCGGTGACCTGAGATCGCACCATTGCACTCCAGCCTGGGCAACGAGAGCGACACTCCGTCTCAAAAAACAAAAACAAAAAGAAACAGTATCTCAGTGGAGTTTCAGTTTGAATTCTCTTTTGAGTGAAGTTAAGCATCTTTTGACATGTTTAAAGAGCTTTTTTTTTTTTGAGACAGAGTCTCACTCTTGTTGCCCAGGATGGACTGGAATGGCTAGATCTCGGCTCACTACAACCTCTGTCTCTCGGGTTCAAGCGATTCTCCTGCCTCAGCCTCCCAAGTAGCTGGGATTACAGGCACATCCCACCATGCCTGGCTAATTTTGTATTTTCAGTAGAGACGGGGTTTCACCATGTTGGCCAGGCTAGTCTCGAAATCCTGACCTTGGGTGATCCGCCAGCCTTGACCTCACAAAGTCCTGGAATCACTGGTGTGAGCCACCATGCCCGGCCTTAGTTTTTAAAACAAAGAAGAAATATAAGGGAGGGTAACTTTTAGAGATACCCATGAAAACTACAAAAATCAATTCATTTGATAATATTACAGCATGGAAGTTTGGGGATATTCATGAAACTGCCTTTGCAAAATTATGACTGAGACAGTGAAAGAGATCTAACTTAACCGACTCCATCTTGCCTCTAACCTCCAAGCTGTCATTGTTCATTCCTGGGCGTAGGCTGCACTAACTTTGGGAAAAACTTAGTTTATAGTTTAAAACAAAGACAATAACAGCTCTTTCCCAAAACAAACCTACTTCTTGCCTGGGGACTAGATTGTCTTTGTAGGACTAACATTAGCCACAAGATTAGAAATTATGGTTTTGGAGTCATGCAGCTGAAGGATACAAGATTCTGACCTTCCCTAAACTGCTCCTAAGATCAGTGCTTGAGATACTGTGCAGACCCTGCACTTGATAGATCAGCTGGCATCACCCAGATCAATAAACTGGCTTGTCTCATCTTGTGGCCCCCACCCAGGAACTGAGTCAGTGCATGAAAACAGCTTCGACCTCCCTGTGATTTCACCCCTGACCAATCAGCAATCCTGACTCACTGGCCTGGCTTCCCCCCACCCACCAAGTTATCCTTAAAAATACTGCTCCCCAAATGCTCAGGGAGACTTATTTGAGTAATAATAAAACTCCAGTCTCCCACACAGCTGGCTCTGCATAAATTACTCTTTATTGCAATTTCCCTATCTTAATGAATCGGCTCTGTCTAGGCAGCGGGCAAGGTGAAGGAACCCCTTGGGCGGTTACATTCGCGGTATCTGACACATATGGCTAGCCAGCACCAACAGCAAATAAGCATACACTCTGAAGTCAGGCAGAGATGGATTTAAATTCTGGTTCTTCCCGTTGACTGTGTGAATTGGGCAAGTCATTTAATCTCTCTGAGCTCTGGGATAATAATGGAACCTACTTCAAAGGACTGTTAAAAGGATTGAGGAGATAAAAAATCTTTATTTTATTATTATTATTAATTATTATTTTGAGACAGAGTCTTGCTCTGTCGCCCAGGCTGGAGTGCAGTGGCTGGACCTCGGCTCACTGCAAGCTCCGCCTCTCGGGTTCACGCCATTCTCCTGCCTCAGCCTCCGGAGTAGCTGGGACTACAGGCGCCTGCCAGCACGCCCGGCTAATTTTTTTGTATTTTTAGTAGAGACGGGGTTTCATCGTGTTAGCCAGGATGGTCTCGATCTCCTGACTTCATGATCCACCTGCCTCAGCCTCCCAAAGTGTTGGGATTACAGGCGTGAGCCACCGAGCCCGCTCCATAAAAAATCTTTAGTGAATAGTAGGTGCTCAGTAAGTGGTACGTATTACTAACAGTTAATTTTATGGTCTGCAGGCTGGGCATGGTGGCTCATGCCTGTAATCCTAGCACTTTGGGAGGCCAAGGTAGTGGATCACTCGAGGTCAGGAGTTCAAGACCAGCCTGGCCAACATGGTGAAACCCTGTCTCTACTAAAAACACAAAAAATTAGCCAGATGTGGTGGTGAGCTCCTATAGTCCCAGCTACTTGGGAGGCTGAGGCACAAGAATTGCTTGAACCTGGAGGTGGAGGTTGCAGTGAGCTGAGATCCAGCCACTGCGCTCCAGCCTGGGTGATGGAGCGAGACTCTGTCTCAAAAAAAAAAAAAAAAAAAAATGCCAGCTTTGGCTGGGCGTGGTGGCTCACACCTGTAATCCCAGCACTTTGGGAGGCCGAGATGGTTAGGAGTTCAAGACCAGCGTTGGCCAACGTGGCAAAATCCCATCTCTACTAAAAATACAAAAATTAGCTGGGTGTGGTGGTGCGCACCTGTAATCTCAGCTACTTGGGAGGCTGAGGCAGGCGAACAGCTTCAGTCTGGGAGGGGGAGTTTGCTGTGAGCCGAGATCACGCCACTGTACTCCAGCCTGGTCAACAGCACAAGACTCCATCTCAAAAAAAAAAAAAAAAAAAAGAAAGAAGAAATAAACCACTCTGCCTCTATGAATAGACGACAGGTTCCCTCAACCAATATCTCCATCATATTGTTTTTAATGGATTACATGAGTCAACACAAGGGTAAGGCACTTAGGCCACTGCTTAGCACATGGTCTACACTAGTAAATATGAGCTATTTTTATTTCCAGCCAATTATGCCACGGCGTGGTTGATGTTACAGAAGAGGAATTCTGTGAGAGTGGTGCATCCACCAGCTCTGAAGAAACTATATCTAGCAAACTACATTTATCAAGTAATACTGGGTCAGGCATGGTGGCTTACACCTGTAATCTCAGCACTTTGGGAGGCTAATGTGGGCGAATCACTTGAGCAGGAGTTTGAGACCAGCCTGCCCAACCTGGTGAAACCCTCTCTCTACCAAAAAAAAAAAAAAAAAAAAAAAATTAGCCAGGCATGGGGGTGCACCTGTAGTCCCAGCTACTTGGGAGGCTGAGGAAGGAGAATCACTTGAACCCAGGAGACAGAGGCTGCAGTGAGCTGAGATCACACCTCTGCACTCCAGCCTGGTGACAGAGTTAGACTTTGTCTCAAAAAACAAAACAAAACAAAAAGTAAAAATGGATCCCTCTTTGTATTATTAATCAACAATTAATTCCAATTAGAACTGGAATAAGAACAGGCCAGGCGCGGTGGCTCATGTCTATAATCCCAGCACTTTGGGAGGCTGAGGCAGGCAGATCACCTGAGGTCAGGAGTTTGAGACCAGCCTGGCCAACATTGTGAAACTCCGTCTCCACTAAAAAAAGAAAAAAAAAGTAGCCGGGTGTGGTGGCGTGTGCCTGTATTCCCAGCGACTCGGGAGGCTGAGGCAGGAGAATCGCTTGAACCCAGGCAGCGGAGGTTGCAGTGAGCCGAGATCGGACCACTGCACTCCGGCCTGGGTGACAGAGGGAGACTCCATCTCAATAAAAATAAAATAAAATAAAATAACTGGAATAACAACTTTTAATAAGGGCTGGGCACGGTGGCTCATGCCTGTAATCCCAACACTTTGGGAGGTCAAGGCAGGCGGATCACCTGAGGTCAGGAATTCAAGACCAGCCTGGCCAACATGGTGAAACCCTGTCTCTGCAAAAATACAAAAATTAGCCAGGCATAATGGCAGGTGCCTGTAATCCCAGCTACTCAGGAGGCTGAGACAGGTGAATCACTTGAACCCAGGAGGCAGAGGTTGCAGTAAGCTGAGATCGTGCCATTGCACTACAGCCTGGGTGACAGAGACTCTGTCTCAAAAAAAAAAAAAAAAGAACTTTTAATCAGCATGTGATAAGCAATATGATATAATTTCTGTCCAAAGCAAAGAAACTTGACATTTTAGCCTTGCAACCTTATCTAGAATAAATGTGACGGTTCCGTTAGGCTTTTGCAAATATTGGTGATTTCTGCCCTGGATCCCTAGTGATACCTTCACAGACTGACTTCTATGGTCCAGGACCCTTCTTCCCAGGATGGAAACTACCTATCTAGGAAAAAAGGACAGAAAGAAAGAAATGAGTAGAGGGGCACGCTGATATTTATAGACCAACTACCATGTGTTAGAGGTTAGGTATTTGATCTCTTTAGCCTCCTGATGTACTGAAAGGCTGATTTATTATTCCCATTTTAGAGATAAGGAACTTAGATAAACAAGAACTCAGAGAGGTTAAACAATGTGTTTTGGGTCAAAAGGTAATTTGTACCAGAATTTCTTTTTTTTTTTTTTGAGACGGAGTCTCACTCTATTGCCCAGACTGGAGTGCAATGGTGCAATCTTGGCTCACTGCAACCTCCCCCTCCCAGGTTCAAGCAATTCCCCTGCCTCAGCCTCCTGAGTAGCTGGGATTACAGGCATGTGCCACCACTCCTGGCTAATTTTGTGTTTTTTTGTTTGTTTGTTTGTTTGTTTTTGAGATGGAGTCTCGCTCTGTTGCCTAGGCTGGAGTGCAGTGGCGCGATCTCGGCTCACTGCAAGCTCTGCCTCCGAGATTCACGCCATTCTCCTGCCTCAGTTTCCCGAATAGCTGGTACTACAGGTGCCCATCACCATGCCTGGCTAATTTTGTTTTTGTATTTTTAGTAGAGACAGGGTTTCACCATATTAGCCAGGATGGTCTTGATCTCCTGACCTCGTGATCTGCCCGCCTCGGCCTCCCAAAGGGCTGGGATTACAGGCATGAGCCACCGTGCCTGGCTAATTTTGTGTTTTTAGTAGAGACAGGGTTTCACCATGTTGGCCAGGCTGGTCTCGAACTCCTGACCTCAGGAGATCCACCCACCTGGGCCTCCCAAAGTGCTGGGATTACAGGTGCGAGCCACCATGTACCAGAATTTCTAGGTCTTCTGATTCAAAGCCTGGAGCTCTTCCCTAGATATCAATCTACATCTTGTGAGACTGTGATAGAGAAGTCAGCCTTAATTAGCCGGGCATGGTGGTGCATGCCTGTAGTCCCAGGTATTTGGGAGGCTGAGGCAAGAGAATTGCTTGAATCCAGGAGGTGGAGGTTGCAGTGAGCTGAGATTGCACCACTGCACTCGACCCTGGGCGACAGAGTGAGACCCTGTCTCAAAAAAAAAAAAAAAAAAAAAAGAACTCAGCCTCAGCCTTATGTTTGCGGTACTCTCCCACATAGGCCTTACGTGGGAGAGGGATGGAGGGGTGGAGCAAGGATGCAATGGAGCAATGATCATGATTCTAGTTTTCCTTCTGTAGGTCCCAGGAGGGGAAAGTAGTTGCTCATGGCCAAATAAACCAGGGGATACTTGGAGAGCGAGAAATCAGGCTGGGGAATCACCCTGGCTAAAGACAACAAGGGTGTCTGTACCTCATGAGCTCTTCCTGGGAAGCTTTAGTGAGGAAGCTAGTACTCAGTTTGTGACTTTCCAAGGGTTTCCACTTGCCTGGAAGGTGACAAGTGTCTGGGAAGCAGAAGTCCTTGCTTCTGGTCCTTCCCCTATAACAGGTACTGAACCTGTCCCTTATTGAAGGCCAGGGACGTATGGTGCCCTGGCCCCACTCCCTGGTCCCTTCCTGCTCTTGAGAATCTGGATTCCAGAGGGAGAGGAAAACCAACAGTAGTGAGTACTATCAACAGTAGTGAGTACTACTATCAACAGTAGTGAGTACTATCAGCTGAACCCTGAATTGATACACCTGGTCTGACAGCCATTTGTATTTATTGGAAACCACAGGACAGAATCCTTGAAACAGAATTCATTGAGGATATTTTGATTTATCTACTCTGTGCCCACTTTTTTTAAAATTTTTATTTTTTGACTTGGAGTCTTGCTCTGTTGTCCAGGCTGGAGTGCAGTGGCGAGATCTTGGCTCACTGCAACCTCCATCTTCCAGGTTCAAGCAATTCTCCTGCCTCAGCCTCCCGAGTAGCTGGGATTACAGGTGCGTGCCGCCACACCTGGCTAATTTTTGTATTTTTAGTAGAGATGAGGTTTTGCCATGTTGGCCAGGGCAGTCTGGAACTCCTGACCACAAGTGATCTGCATGCCTCTACCTCCCAAAGTGCTGGGATTAGAGGCATGAGCCACCACACCCGGCCTACTCTGTGCCTATTGCCCACCTTTTGGGTTGTCAGTTGGGGAAATAATATTTATGGGAAACATGTAGTCAACATTAAAATGCAGCAGTCTGTTCTCTAGCATGTCTGACCACTTGCTAGCCAGATCTGCTTGTACACTTGCAGTGACAAGCTCACTGCCCGAAGGGCAGTTCCTTCTTGCTCTGGTCAGCTCTGAGGGAGAGCAAGTTCTTCTTTAGTTGAAGAAATCTAGTTGAAGAGCTGAAGACTCTCTTGCTGCAATCCCTGCCCATCTGTATGCACTGTATTCCAGGGATTTGAGGACAATCTTCATGGCCCAAGTCATCTACCCTCCTACCCCTAGTGTAACTTTCTTTGATATTTCCATGTATTTTGCACAGAAACTTTTGGATAGATACTTCATTCCTTGGGTCTCCATCCACTGCAGCTGGTCAGTGTCCCTGCAAAAAATGGTGCACAGAACCAACATTGCTGATGTGACCCAATCAGGATAATGTGCAGGAGATGCGTCCGTTCCTATAATCTACACTGTGTGACTATATTAATGAAACATAGAGTGAATGCTTTCTATCAGTTCCACAGAACTTGCTCTTTTTTTTTTTTTTTCAGACGGAGTCTCGCTCTGTTGCCCGGGCTGGAGTGCAGTGGCGCGATCTCCGCTTACTGCAAGCTCCACCTCCTGGGTTCACGCCGTTCTCCTGCCTCAGCCTCCCAAGTAGGTGCGACTACAGGCACTCGCCACCACGCCTGGCTAATTTTCTGTATTTTTAGTAGAGACGGTGCTTCACCGTGTTAGCCAGGATGGTCTCCATCTCCTGACCTCGTGATCCGCCCGCCTCGGTCTCCCAAAGTGCTGGGATTACAGGCGTGAGCCACCGCACCTGGCCAGTTTGTTCATTTTCATTGCTGTAGAATATTCCATTGTATGTTAAAACTTTTTTTTTTTTGAGGCAGAGTCTCGCTCTGTCGCCCAGGCTGGAGTGCAATGGTGTGATCTTGGCTTACTGCAAGCTCCGCCTCCTGGGTTCACGCCATTCTCCTGCCTCAGCCTCTCCAGTAGCTGGGACTACAGGCACCCGCCATGATGCCCTGTATGTTAAAACTTTTTAAAAATCTAGTCCACTGTTGATGAACATATGAGTCCTTTATTTATCGTATTATGAACTATGCCACTGTGAATATTCGTGTGTCTCCTGGGGCACATGGGCAATGTCATTGGTAACTAATTATTTCATGTGTTTATGTCTTATTCCCAATTTCCTTCAGAACATAAGAATCACATCTTTTATACTTAGTAAAGACTTTGAGCATACATTTGTTTTCCTAAAATATATTCCTAGGGGTGGAACTGCTGGGTCTTAAGGTTTACCTAAAAATACGAAAATGTTCAATATTCTTGATGCTCCTATCTGATTTCAAAATGGCTTTTTAACTACTTCCCTCACATGGAGAGCCCTAGGTGTCCAAATCATATGCCTGACCATTTCTGAGGGACCTTGACTTGAGGGCCTGGCTTCAAGCCTCATTATCAATGGCAACAAATTTGCCACTCTCTCACTGGAAGGAGCCCCTTCTATTTTATTTTTATTTATTTCTTTTTTTTGAGAGGGAGTCTTGCTCTGTCGCCCAGGCTGGAGTGCAGTGGTGCAATTTTGGCTCACTGCAACCTCTGGACCTCCTGGGTTCAAGCAATTCTGCCTCAGCCTCCCGATTGTAAGTGCCCAACACCACGCCTGGCTAATTTTTGTATTTTAGTAGAGACAGGGTTTCACCATGTTGGTCAGGCTGGTCTTGAACTTCTGACCTCAAATGATCTGCCCGCCTCGGCCTCCCAAAGTGCTGGGATTACAGGCGTGAGCCACCACACCTGGCCGCATCTGCTATCTTTATGGCTTATGCCTCGTGTTAGTCATCACAACAATACAGAGGATGCACTGGGCTGCCCTATCCTGGCCAAAGGTCTTCCTGGTAAGCATGGATTTGCTCATCCAGGAAAATCATTTATGGGGGGTTGGGCAGGGTGTTGGGGAGACCCTGCTTGCTCTCTCAAATGCACACCAGCCATTTGGGAGACATTAACTGCTCAAAAAACTCGAGTCTGTATTTTGGCTCTCCTCTAACGATGGCAGGACCTGGGGCAAAAGTACAAATAGATACCTAAATTATTTAAAATTACAAACCAGTTTGGACGTGGTGGCTCACACCTGTAATCCCAGCACTTTGGGAGGCCGAGGTGGGTAGATCACTTGAGGTCAGGAGTTCAAGACCAGCCGGGCTAACATGGTGAAACCCTGTCTCTACTAAAATTACAAGAGTTAACTGGGCGTGGTGACACACGCCTATAATCCTAGCTACTCAGGAGGCTGAGGCAGGAGAATCACTGGAATCCGGGAGGTGGAGGTTGCAGTGAGCTGAGATGGTGCCACTGCCCTCCAGCCTGGGCAATAGAGTGAGAGACTCCGTCTCCAAAAATTAAATAAATAATAAAATAAAATAAAATTACAAACTACTCCAATTAACCGCTAACCTTAATACAGTCTATCCTTCTACTTGGACAAATCTACCTGTTTAAGACCTGGAAGACCAGGTTTAAATTTAGAATTCCTGGGCTCCTGGGAGTTATGCCCATGAATGAGGTGGCGAAAGCAGCACAGGCCCTGGCCCAACTATTGTCTCTTGGCTCACTTGCCTTCTTTTCTCACCTCTGTCCTGCACCATGAGGGATCTGTGGACATAGGAGCTCAAACACCCAAGTGTCGTGTCACCCCCTTAAAATAAAACAAAGCTGCCCTTTAGCCTCCCTTTTTTTCAGTGAGAAATAATCATTTTAATAAAAGTATACCTTATTTAAAACAAATGATTTAAAGAAAGTAGAAACTGATTCTAATTAGTGGATTTTCTGATTATTATTATTATTATTTGAGATGGAGTCTCGATCTGTCGCCCAGGCTGGCAGTGGTGCGATCTTGGCTCACTGCAACCTCCGCCTTCTGGGTTCAAGCAATTCTCTGCCTCAGCCTCCCGAGTAGCTGGGAGTACAGGCGCCTGCCACCACACCCGACTAATTTTTTGTATTTTTAGTAGAGATGGGGTTTCACCATCTTGGAGAGGCTGATCTTGAACTCCTGACCTCGTGATCCACCTGCCTCAGTCTCCCAAAGTGCTGGGATTACAGGCGTGAGCCACTGTGCCCGGCCTATTATTATTTTTTTATTATACTTTAAATTCTTGGATACATGTGCTAAACGTGCAGGTTTGTTACATAGGTATACATGTGCCATGGTGGTTTGCTGCATCTATCAACCCGTCATCTAGGTTTTAAGCCCCGCATGCATTAGGTATTTGTCCTAATGCTCTCCCTCCCCTTCCCCCCACCCCCCACAGGCCCCGGTGTGTGATGTTCCCCTCCCTGTGTCCATGTGTTCTCATTATTCAATTCCCACTTATGAGTGAGAACATGAGGTGTTTGGTTTTCTTTTCCTGTGTTAGTTTGCTGAGAATGATGGTTTCCAGCTTCATGCATGTCCCTGCAAAGGACATGAACTCATTCTTTATGCTTTCACTTTAGCTTCTTTTAGGGATGTCTAGACTCTGCCATAGAGAGAATGGATCTGGGAAAGAGACCACAGCTTCAGCCATCTGGAAAGGGAATTCTGGGGCCACAAGTATTCAGAACTTGGTCCTGAAGTGCCAAACCCTGTGGACTCCCTCATCCTGGGGTGGGATTGCTGGGTCTTAAAATGTACATAATTCCTGATGCTCCTCTCTGATTTCAAAATAGCTTTTTAGGCCGGGCGCGGTGGCTCACGCCTGTAATCCCAGCACTTTGGGAGGCTGAGGCAGGCGGATCACGAGGTCAAGGGTTTGAGACCAGCCTGACCAACATAGTGAAACCCCGTCTCTACTAAAAATACAAAAATTAGCCGGGTGTGGTGGCGTGCGCCTGTTGTCCCAGCTAGTCGGGAGGCTGAGGCAGGAGAATTGCTTGAACCCGGGAGGCAGAGGTTGCAGTGAGCCGAGATCGCACCATGGCACTCCAGCCTGGGTGTCAGAGTGAGACTCTATCTCCAAAAAAAAAAAAAAAGCTTTTTAAACTACCTCCTTGGCATGGGGCACTCCAGGTGTCGAAATCAGACGGGGAGTGGTGATTAGAGGGGAGTTCCTAAAGTATAGGGCCCAGGGGCCCAAGTATAAGGGCCACACTTTGTGTATATGATTTCTCCTTTCCTGCCATGAGTGCAGGGTCTGTACCTGGCTGTATCTCCAGCATCTATCACGACTGAAAACCCAAACGTATTTGCTGAATGGATAGTATACTGGCCTCTGCACCAGAAGACCTGGGGTCCAGGCCCAGTACTGTCGGAAACAGTTCTTCATACTTTATTACCTCGTTTAAACTTTTCTTAGCCATTATATTGATAAAAATTCCAAGAGGTGAAGTGACTCTCCCAAGGTCGCAAAGCTAGAAGAGGTAGAGGCTGGAACTGCACCCCGCCATCGGTCCTCCTCTCTTACTCATTTTTTTTTTTCCCCTCACTGTGCTGGGGTGGAGAACCGGGACCGGCACCTTCGAGAGGCCAGGCCTCTGCTGCAGCCCCTCTTCTCCAGCTCCGCTCGGCACTCAGCCTCCCCGCGCCGCTGGGTCAGGCGCCCAGCTCCGCCGAAACCCTCCCCTCCCGCCGCGCTCCCTCCGCGCTCCCTCCGCGCTCCCTCCGCGCTCCCTCCGCGCTCCCTCCGCGCTCCCTCCGCGCTCCCTCCGCGCTCCCTCCGCGCTCCCTCCGCGCTCCCGAGGCCCCGCCCCTCCCCTCGGGCCAACGTCACGTGCCGCCCCATCCCCCTGCGCCTGCGCACTGCTTATTTCCCGCTGTCAGGATGAGGAGGCGGAGGTCGGCGGTCGGGTCCGTCTCTGCCCGCGGCTGTGGCGGCGCCGGCGGATCCAGCCTTAGCGGTTTCTCTCTGGGCGGCGGCGGCGGCGGCTCGGTTGACGCCTCCTCCGCCAGCTGAGCCCGCGGGAGCCCAGGACGCCGCTTCCCCGCCCATCCCCGCTCCCCGAGGCCGGCCGCCTGGTCATGGCGCAGCCGGGCCCGGCTTCCCAGCCTGACGGTGAGGCGCCCACCATGGCAGGCGCGGCGGGCGCGGCCTGCCCGGCGTCGGCGTCGCGGGAGGATTTCGGGGCGGGCAGGCGGCGGCAAGGGCGCGCGCAGGCCCCGGGGGTGACCCCGCCGGGCGGAGGCGGGGGCGCGCGGGCTGCGGCGCGCGAGGGCGGCGCGGGCGCCCCGGCTGCCGTCGCTGGGGAGGGGGCGGGAGGCGCGGGTGCAGCGCTTGCGGGAGGGCAGAGGGAAGGGCGTGGGGAGGCTGCTGGGTAGCGTGGGGTAGTGTGGGGAGGGAGCGGTTCTGGGTAGCGGGGGACCGGCACGTGGGTTCTGCCCGTGGGGGAGGATGGAAATCGGGAACATGTGCTATATTCGTTAAAGAAAAAAAATCTTAGCTTAGGTAGTGTACCCTCCCTGCCGCCCCAATCCTTGCTATAGAACTCTTTGCACCCAGTTATGTGACCTGAAAGTAGTTGTGTACAGTAACTGGATTTAGTAGCATTCCCTGAATGGCAGTGTGGCTTAATGGTTAAGTGTTGGGGCCTGGGAGTCTAGAGGACCTGTATTCTTAACCAGCAAGCTCTGGGCTCATTTCTTAGCCTCGTTGAGCCTCAGTATTCTCACCCACGAATTAACCAAGAGGTTAATTCATGCCTTTATATTTTATCTATAAAAATAGCAACACGAATGTGTATATACAATAATAGTATTATGGAGGTATTAGGAATAATGAGAATAGTGTTTGAGAATGCTGAGGCCTACTTGCACTACTTGAAGATATTTGCTTGTGGAACTAAAAAAAAAAAAGTGAAGTCGAAGAAATGTGTCATTTATATTCTTGGAAGGAAAAAAGGGCCCCATCCTAAATAATCAAAGTTGGTTGTCAGAGCCCTTCGTGACCTTCTGGGAAATTGGACTAAGCTGTGCTTCACAGATTGACTACATGGTTCCAGGTTTTACCACCTAGAATAGATGTTTGGAAATAGTGTGCTTGGGCTTTTCCAAGGTCCCACTGTATCTAGTTGTGAAAGTACTTTCTGGTGTATTTCTATAATCAGCGTGTGTGCTTAGCATCTTTAAGTGTGAGTAGAGTAGAATGTTGGGAAAAGGGGCTTGGTACGGAGTAGGTACTTTAAAACTTGGCTTTCCTTGGGGTTGTCTCAAAATAACCTTTCGTGAAACCCTTACTTTTTATTTTTGCCTTTGGGGAACTTGAAACCATGTTATCAGATTTTAAGGTTCTGGCTGCTCTCTGGGAAATGTGCTTCAGAGCCTGTTAGCCTGTAGTTTTGGGTGTTGTTGCTTGCCTAAGGGGAGATGTCCAGTAAGCATTTAGACTTTTATAAGAACCTGCTTTGCTGTTTCTGTTCCAGGAGAAGGGAAGGGAAGCATTTTTGGTGGGCTGTCAGAGAGAGGAAACTGGGATGTCTTCAGGCTGCATTTTAATGATCACCTTTTGCATTTGGTGTCAGGCAAGAAAACTTTGTTCTTCCACAATCCCACTTTGTTACTGCACACAGAGGCAAGATACAGAGAGCTTGTGGTTCTGAACAGGAGTGGTAGGTATGCATAGCTGGCTGCTGCCTTCTCTTGAGTTGCATGGAAAGAAACGTCTAGGGCAGCTCAGGTGACATGACCGTCTGGAATCAAAATTCCCTGCCTCTTTGAAGATATGAAATGGTCTTCCTTGTAAATAGGCAGAAGTGACTAAGCACTTGAACGAGGCTAGGGAAAACTAGCTTTAGGAAATCTTGTATTCTTGGTATTTTAGTTCAGGTTTCTTTCCTATTTCTCAAATCTTGTGACTCTAGGATGAGATTTAGTTTGCATAGATTGCAATTTTTATTTTAAATTAATGTAGGTAGCCATGGCTACTTTTTACAGTAGGAGAGAGATAATTTGGTACGTTTGAGTGCCTTGTGTCAGTGCCTTAGAAGTTCATCTTGGGGATTTTAATTTTTTTTTTTTTCTTTGAGACAGTATCTCACTCTGTTGCCCAGGCTGGAGAGCAGTGGCGCGATCTTGGCTCACTGCAGCCTCGACCTCCTGGGGTCAAAGCAATCCTGCTACCTCAGCCTCCCAAGTAGCTGTGACTACAGGTGCATGCCACTATTCCCAGCTAATTTTTGTATTTTTGTAGATACGGCGTTTTGCCATGTTGCCTAGGCTGGTCCCAAACTCCTGAACTCAAGGGATCCACCTGCCTACACTTCCCAAAGTGCTAGGATTGTAGGTGTGAGCCCGTGAGTCCGGCTTTTGGGGATTTAATTTGTGTCTTTAGCTGAACTCATGTAGACCATTTTAGCTTTAGGCACGTTTGAATTTCCTAGTCCTGCTGATTAAAAAAAAAAAAAATCGCCAGAATTCTTTTGTGTCAAACTGGTGGTGAAAGATAACTAACTGCTTAGTCTTTGACTTTATCTTGTTTTATCCTGTTTCAGAAGCGATTGTCTTTGATGACTTTTTAAAAAAAAAAAAATATTGTCTGTTTTTCATGGCCATATGGTAGATTAGGAAAATCGATTTGTGTGTAAATCGAAGGGATGAAATGTAATCATTTTATTCATTGTAATTATTTTGTAAGTTAAAAAAAGTTTTGGGTTTTTGATACTGCATCTTAGTTTACTTATTTGGAATACAGGTAATTTTAATAGTTAAAGAAATTTCAGTTGATCTGTTTTCCCTTGAGAATTTAAAAATGAAAATTTTCTAATTTTAGTATTTCTTTTAATCTAAGTTCAACTATATCTTTGAAGCATTTGCTCTGGTTTTACTTCACTTTTTTTCTTTTTTTTTTTTTTCTTTTGTAGAGAGGGTCTCATTGTGTTGCCCAGTCTGGTCTTGAACCCCTGGGCTCAAGTGATTCTCCCATCTTGGCCTCTCAGTGTTGGGATTACAGGCATGAGCAACTGCACCCAGCCTACTTCATTATTTTTTATTCTTGCCATGTTGGCCAGGCTGGATTCCTGATTGTTTCCTGTTAGTTACACAGACATGCTACCTTTTACCCCTGAAGGACATGCTTTACATACATAAGTCTGCAACTTCCCTATCTCACTTAATAAATGTTAGCTATCATATTATATACTCATGGTTATATGGCCATGTAATGTTCTGCAAACACTATAGGCATTATCTTAGGAAATCTTCATAGCAATGGTACTATTGAATATTACTGCTTCTATTTTCTTGATGAGGAAACTGAAGCACACAGAAGTTAAAGAAACGTGCCTGTGTTATACAGCTATTAAGTGGGGGAGCAGGATTCAAATCCATGCCATCTGGCTTATGTACTAGATCATGGACTACTTCCAGGTCAGTGTTGTAGGCCTTCTTCATTCTTCTTAAAGACGATCTTATCATATGCATGTACCAGGCATGATTTATGGCCTATTTCCCTATTGTGGGGCAAGTAGATTGTTTTCAAATTTTAATTATTTTATAAGCAGTGTTGTAATGGATGTCCTTGTGCATATTTTTTAAGGTACTCTTTTACTTCTGTAAGACTAGTGAATTAAATAAAGGGCATGAGTTCCGAGTGGTTTAAATTTTAATACCTGTTGCTAGCTTACTCTCCAAGGCATCAATTTACATACTTGCCAACGATATATGGCAGGTGGATTTCCCCTGTAATCCTACAAGCTCTGGATGATGTCATTTGTTTTAAATTTGTGTCTTTTGATTAAAAAAAGTGATATTGTTTGGCCGGGCATGGTGGCTCATGCCTGTAATCCCAGCACTTTGGGAGGCCAAGGCAGATGGATCACAAGGTCAGGCGTTCAAGACCAGCCTGGCCAATATGGTGAAACCCCATCTCTACTAAAAATACAAAAGTTAGCCGGGTGTGGTGGTGCGCACCTGTAGTCCCAGCTACTCAGGAGGCTGAGGCAGAAGAACCGCTTGAACCCGGGAGGTGGAGTGAGCAGTGAGCCGAGATCGTGCCACTGCACTCCAGCCTGGGGGACAGAGTGAGACTCTGTCTCAAAAAAAAAAGAGTTGTATTGTTCAATTAACAAGTATTTGTGTGCCTATTCTATGCCGAATCCTATGCTAGGATCTAGGAAATACAGTGATGAACAAAACCAGACCCAGTCCCTTTCCCAGGTAGTGAATCATTCAGCCATTAATTAGATAATCCTATAGACACACACAAAACTATTTATTCATCTAATATGAATGCATACTGTTTGTCAGGCACAATTCTAGGCATTTGGAATACATCAGTAGGCAATATAGATAATAAATAACCCTGCCCTAGTGTGGGAGAAACGGATATTAAACAACAAACGTAAGCAAATGATACGGGTTGTTAGATGATAAGTGCAATGGAAAAAAGAAAACAGAGCAGGAGAAAGGGAAGGGGGTGGGGCTGGTTTTAAATAGGCTGGTCAGGCAGCTTTATTGAGAAGATGACATTTGTGCAAAGACTTGAAGTAGATAGAGGAGTTAGCCTTGAGGATATCTGGTGGAAGGGTGTTCTAGGCAGGGATCAGTTTTTGCATATGCCTTGAGGGCGGAAGCATGTCTGGCATGTTTGAGTAATGGCATGGAGGTCAGTCTGGCTGGAATGATGTTACGGGGCCTGGGGCAAGAGTGTAGTAGGATATGAGGTCAGAGAGGTAACGAGGTGGAGGCAGATCTTCTTGGGCCCTAGAAGTATTGCAAAGATTGGTTTTCACTATGGGGAACCATTGAAAAGCTTTGAACAGAGGAATGATGTGATCTCACTTATGTTTTAAAAAAATCACTCTGGGCCAAAGTGCTGGGATTACAGGCGAGGTGGCTCATGCCTAGAATTGTGCCTGACAAACAGTATACAGGCTCACGCCTGTAATCCCAGCACTTTGGGAGTCTGAGGCAGGTGGATCACCTGAGGTCAGGAGTTCCAGACCAGCCTGGCCAACATGGTGAAACCCAATCTCTACTAAAAATACAAAAATTAGTCAGACATGGTGGCACGCGCCTGTAATCCCAGCTACTTGGGAGGCTGAGGCAGGAGAATTGCTTGAACCTGGGAGGTGGAGGTTGCAGTGGGCGAAGATCATGCCACCGTGCTCCAGCCTGGGCAACAGAGTGAGACTCTGTCGCAAAAAAAAAAAAAAAAAAAAAAAAACCCAAAACACTGAGCGGGCGTGGTGTTGTCTCATACCTGTAATCTCAACACTTTGGGAGGCCTAGGTGGGTGGATTGCTTGAGCCCAGGAGTTTGAGACCAGCCTGGGCAATATGGCAAAACCGCATCTCTACAAAAAATTAGCCGGGTGTGATGGCCTGTGCCTCTAGTCCCAGCTACTCAGGAGGCTGAGGTGGGAGGATCACCTAAGCCTGGGAGGTCGAGGCTGCAGTGAGCTGTGATCTTGCTACTTCACTCCCACCTAGGTGACAGAGTAAGACCCTGTCTCAAAAAAAAAATCACTCTGACTGCTGGATTGGCAGTGGAGTAATAGGGAGGTATGAATCCAGAAAAAAGATGTTGAAGCTTGGACCAGGATGGAGGTTATATTTTGAAAGTATGGCCAACAGGATTTGCTGACGGATTGAATATGGGATGCAAAAGAAACTGAGTAGTCAAGGATTACTCAAAGGTGTTTGGCCTGAGCAACTAGATGAACACAATGCTATGAATGCCTATAACTGACTTATTTGACCAATATACAGAGGTCAGTAAAGGCTTTTGATGAAGTAGTCCTGGAGCCGAGATCTGATGGATGAGCAGGACTCCTGGTTTTGGAGGATGCAGAACGAGTAACATAACTGAAGAAAGGTCACTGTGCCTGGGTAGAGGAGTAGGTATGGGCTGGCCTGAGGGGTCTTTTTCCTTAGAGGTGTACGGGAACCCACTGAAGGGTTTTAAGCAGGTAGATGATGTGTGGCTTTTTATTTTATTTTATTTATTTATTTTTTGAGATGGAATCTCGCTCAGTCGCCCAGGCTAGAGTGCAGTGGCACTATCTCGGCTCACTGGAACCTCTACCTCCCAGGTTCAAGTGATTCTCCTGCCTCAGCCTCCCAAGTAGCTGGGATTACAGGCATGTGCTGCCATGCTCGGCTAATTTTATATTTTTAGTAGAGATGAGGTTTCGCCATGTTCGTCAGGCTGGCCTCTAACTCCTGACCTCAGATGATGCATCCGCCTTGGCCTCCCAAAGTGCTGGGATTACAGGCGTGAGCCACTGCGCCTGGCCTATTTTATTTCTTTTCTTTATTTTTTTGAGACCAAGTCTTGCTGTGTTGCCCAGGCTGGAGTGCAGTGGTGTGATCTCTGCTCACTGTAACCTCTGCCTCCCAGGTTCAGGCGATTCTCGTGCCTCAGCCCCTCAAGTAGCTGGGATTACAGGCGTGCACCACTACACCTGGCTCATTTTTTTGTATATTTAGTAGAGACAGGGTTTCACCATGTTGGCCGGGCTGGTCTTGATCTCCTGTTCTCAATTTATCCACCCTCCTTGGCCTCCCAAAGTGCTGGGATTATAGGAGTGAGCCACTGTGCCTGGTTGAAGTGTGGCTTTTTAATTTGCACTTCCAGGATAGGAATTATATTAATTATGGCCTCTTTGTTTATTGGCTGGCTGGCTTGCTTCCTTCCTTTCATCCATTTTTTTCTTTCTTTCATTTTTTTCTTTTTTTGCTTGCCCTCCCTTCCTCCCTCCCTTTCTTCTTCTTCTTCCTCTTCCTTTTCTCTTCTACTATGAGTTGCTGTTTCACATCTTTCTTTTGTGGCTTGTCTGTTTATATCTGTTTCCCATTTTTCCATTGGGTTGTCCTTTTCTCAGTAATTTGGAGGAGCTCTTTGTAAATTATATTAGCCCTTTGGTATGTGTTGCAAATTTTGGTCTCACAGTTTGTCATTTACCTCGTTTTAAAAATTTTTTGTTATGCAGAAAGCTTTAATTTTTATGTAGATCTGACCTTTTTTTTTTTTTTTTAAATTTATGGTTTCTGGGTTTCTTATTTTGCTGAGGAAGACCTCCCCAACTCTCATGTTTATTTAAAGAGAAAAAACCTTATCATTTTCAACACTTGTGGTTTTTTATATTTTGTAGTCCAATCCATTTGCAATTTATTTATTTTTAAATTAGAGAAGTTTAATATAAAGAATTATTAACTAAACTGGAGATCACCCACTAAGACAAAAGAAAACCCTAAAGAATACAAGACTAGTAGACATAAGGAACAGTCTCGCTTCCAGGGCTGAGGCAGAGCACCCTTTATTTTTTTTTCTGAATAGATAGATAGTTGTCTTAACGTTTATTCAATAGTTCATGTTTTTGTTTGTAAATTATAACTTGGTAAATCTCCCAACCTTTGAACTAGCAGAGATACTTAATCTGAAAAACAAAAGCCCTGCACTTATCCACTGTCTTTGTCACTCTGATATCCCAACACACAGTAGCCTGGAATTAGGTAATGGCCTTTAATTTTCATGTCTTACCTGGCTTTCTGTGGAGAGAATTGCTTTTGAATCTTAAGGGCTCTAATTTCTAAAATATCTCCATTTATCATATGCTAGGTTTTTATCCACTGAAGTTTGATGTTCTCTTCTTATGTAGTCATTAATTTGAATATTGTCTTTATAGAAGTATTTATTTATTTTTTGAGATGGAGTCTCGCTCTGTCGCCCAGGCTAGAGTGCAGTGGCACGATCTCAGCTCACTGCAAGCTCCGCCTCCTGGGTTCACGCCATTCTCCTGCCTCAGCCTCCCAAGTAGTTGGGACTACAGGCGCCCGCCACCACACCCGGCTAATTTTTTTGTATTTTTAGTAGAGACGGGGTTTCACCGTGTTAGCCAGGATGGTCTCGCTCTCCTGACCTCGTGATCCACTCGCCTTGGCCTCCCAAAATGCTGGGATTACAGGCGTGAGCCACCGCGCCCGTCCTCCTTGATTATTCTTAAGTATTTATTCATTCAGAAAAAATTTGGAATGAGTACGTTAAGTGCACCCACTGTGCTTCCCTCTCTTGTTTAAAAAAAGGACTTAAAAAATATCTGTTGCGTTTATAAGCTTAAGAGAGCATATATCATTAACATCTTTACAATTAAGATAAATTAATGCATTAAGTGCATGTTAATTTAAATAATAATATTTATTATTATTTTTTGAGATAGAGTCTTTCTCTGTTGCCCATGCTAAAATGCAGTGCCGCTATCTTAGCTGACTGCAACCTTGGCCTCCCGGGTTCAAGTGATCCTTTCATCTCAGCCTTTGGAGTAGCTGGAATTACTCCGTGCTCATGACCCAGCCTGACTAATTTTTTTCTAGTTTTAGTAGAGAGTGGGTTTCAACATGTTGCCCAGGCTGGTGCTGAACTCCTGGCCTCAAATGATCTGCCCACCTCGGCCTACAAAGTGCTGGGATTACAGGTGTGTGCCACCAGACTTGGATGCATTAATTATATTTTTTAATCCTTCTGATTCTTTAAAGGTAGTATTAACACTTTCACAATTGAGGCTATACAAATTAGTAACTTGCCTAGAATCCAGGTTGCCGTGACTATTTTCATTCTAGCTATCCCTCAGGCCAGTTTTAGCTTAGTAAACTTTGATCATTTTTAAAAAGGCAAAATTAAGGCTCCAATTTTCTGATCATAAAGTACAAAGTGTAAAAGAAAACTAGACTTGCTGAGCGTGGTGGCTCACACCTGTAATCCTAGCACTTTGGGAGGCTGAAGTGGGTGGACCACGCGGTCAGGACTTTGAGACCAGCCTGGCCAACAGAGTGAAACCCCGTCTCTACTAAAAATACAAAAAATTAACTGGGCGTGGTGGTGGGCACGTGTAACCCCAGCTACTTGGGAGGCTGAGGCAGGAGAATTGCTTGAGCCTGGGAGGCTAAGAGGTTGTAGTGAGCCAAGATCGTGCCATTGCACTCCAGCCCGGGCGACAGTGCGAGACTCCGTTTAAAAAAAAGAAAACTAGACTTACACATAATTCTGTCCTTTATTTTTTTATTCTACATTTTAAATTAATTTTTATATCTACAAATAAAAATATTTTAAAACAATTGATCATATTGCACATGTGGTTTTGCATTCTGCCATTTTCATTTGGTTATGATGTGAACAGTTTCCCTGTGTTGTAAGTTTTTTTGTTTTGTTTTGTTTTATTAGTGGTTTTGGCCAGTTGCGGTGGCTCACGCCTGTAATCTCAGCTCTTTGGGAGTCTGAGGTAGGTGGATCACTTGGGTCAGGAGTTTGAGGCCAGCCTGGCCAACATGGCGAAATTCCGTTTCTACTAAAAATACAAAAATTAGGCCTGATGGTGTGCGCCTGTAATCCCAGCTACTCCAGAGGCTGAGACAGGAGAGAGTCATCTGAACCTGGGAGGTGGAGTTTGCAGTGATCTGAGATTGAGCCACTGCACTCCAGCCTGGGGGAAAGAGCGATACTCTGTCTCAAAAGTGGTGATAAGTCTGATTCATCATATAAATGTATCATTTTCCTATTACTGCCAGTTTGATCATTTGTAAATTCTCGCTATTAATAATTACATAGGAAACAACATTCTCGTACATTAATCTTTGATCTCATCTTTATTTCCTAGAGTGTTCTGGATCTGAAGTATGACATTTTGGTATATATTGCCAAATTGCTTTCTAGAAAGCCAGTTCTAGTTTACATTTCTTCTTCTTAGTGCTGACGATGTCTGTTAGTCTCACTTCATCCTTGTCAACGTGAAGTATAGACTTAAAGTGTTCTTGCCAATAGGCAAGGCCTAAAAATGGTATCTGACTGATTTTAGTTGCAGTTTTAGTATGATTGGCTTTTGTTCATTTTTTTCCTTTTTTTGTTTTTGATTTTTTAAAAAATATATATATTGGCCATTTTTTTGTGTGCATTGCCTCATGATGTCCTTTACCCCTTTCTTATTAAATTTTTAGTTTATTTACTTTTTTTTTGAGATGGAGTTTCGCTTCGTTACCAGGCTGTAGTGCAGTGGCGCGATCTTGGCTCACTGCTACCTCCACCTCCTGGGTTCAAGCAGTTCTGCCTCGGCCTCCCGAGTAGCTGGGATTACAGGTGTGTGCCACTGTGTCTGGCTAACTTTGTATTTTTAGTAGAGATAGGGTTTCACCATGTTGATCAGGCTGGTCTGGAACTCCTGACCTCATGTGATCCACCCACCTTGGCCTCCCAAAGTGCTGGGATTACAGGTGTGAACCACTGCACCTGGCCTTTATTTATTTGCTTTTGAGACAGGGTCTTGCTCTGTGGCTGGAGTCTGGTGGCATGGTGCGATCTTGCCCGATTGCAATCTCTGCTTTCCGGGCTCAGGTGATCCTCTCACCTCAGCCTCTGGAGTAGCTGAGACTACAGGCATGCACCACCATGCCTCGCTAGTTTTTGTATTTTTAGTAGAGATAAGGTTTTTCCATGTTGCCCAGGCTGGTCTTGAACTTCTGGGCTCAAGCCATCTGCCTGCCTTGGCATCTCAAAGTGCTGGCATTACAGGCATGAGCTGCTGTGCCTTGTTCATTTTCTTATTAATTTATAAATATTGGCCAGGTGTGGTGGCTCATGCCTATAATCTCAGCAGTTTGGAAGACTGAGGCAGGTGGATCCCTTGAGGTCAGGAGTTCGAGACCAGCCTGACTAACATGAAACCCCGTCTCTACTAAACATACAAAAATTAGCTGGGTGTGGTGGTGCGTGCCTGTAATCCCAGCTACTTGGGAGGGTGAGGCACGAGAATCGCTTGAATCTGGGAGGTAGAGGTTGCAGTGAGCCGAGATTGCACCATTGCACTCCAGCCTGGACAATAAGAGGGAAACTCTGTCTCCCCCCTCAAAAAAAAAAATCTGTATATCTTTCTCTCTATATATATCTCTTTGTATATAATATCTTCATAGACATTGGCCTTTGTTTTTTATTTGTTACAGATATTTACAGGTATTTTCCATGTTTTTTCTTATTTTGGCTTTTGGGGTAATTTATTTTTTTGAGACAGGGTCTCTCTCCATCACCCAGGCTGGAGTGCAGTGGTGTGATCACGGCTCAATGTAACCTTGACCTCTCACCTCAGCCTCCTGAGGGCCCTATAGGCACATGCCACCATGCCTAGGTAATTTTTGTATTTTTTGTACAGACAGAATCTCCCTTTGTTGCCCTGGCTGGTCTCAAACTCCTGGGCTCAAGGGATCCACCTGCCTCAGTTTCCCAAAGTTCTTTGATTACAGGTGTGAGCCACTGCATCTGGCCATTGGGATAATTTTTGTTATAAAGAAATCTAAAATTTCACTTGGACAAACTTATTGGTAATATTTTGACATTTTCAAAGATGTTCTCTGTCGCAAAATCAATTAGATAGCTGCTCATAACTTATGTTGTTAGTGTTTAAATTTATTTTTAAACAGTGGCCAATTTTTTTCTACATCATTTCAATTATTAAGTTGTTTCTATGTGAGCTGTTTGTCAAGTTGGATCTTCCACATCTTGCACTTGTCATTAATTTTCTTTCTATAATTATTTTATAATTACAGATAAAATTTATATTGCCCATTGCAGACAACTAAGAAAATGCAAAAAAAGTGTAAAGTGAACAGTCAGCAAAGACAGTTTATTAACACTTTGGTATACAGTTAGCCCTCTGTATCTGCGGGGTCCACTTTCATGAATTCAACCATCTGGGGATTGAAAATAAACCCTTTGGGAGGCTGAGGCGGGGGAATCATGAGGTCAGGAGTTCGAGACCAGTCTGACAAACCCTGTCTACTAAAAATACAAAAGTCAGCTGGGCGTGGTGACACGCGTTTGTAATCCCAGCTACTCAGGAGGCTGAGGCAGGAGAACTGCTTGAACCCGGGAGGCGGAGGTTGCAGTGAGCTGAGGTGGCGCCACTGCACTCCAGCCTGGGTGACAGTGAGACTCCAACTCAAGAAAATAAACCAATAAAACAATAAGAATACAAATTAAAAAATGCAGTATGACAACTATTTACATAGTATTTACATTGTATTAGGTATTATAAGTTATTTAGAGGTGATTTAAAGTACATGGGAGAATATGCATAAGTTATATGCAAATACTACACTGTTTTATATAAGGGACTTGAATATCATCAGATTTTGGTATCTGAGAGGTCCTGGAACCAATTTCCCTCAGATACTGAGGGAAAACGGTATTGTCTTTTTTTTTTTTTTTTTTTTTTTTTTTTTTTTGAGATGGAGTCTCGCTCTGTCACCCAGGCTGGAGTGCAGTGGCGCGATCTCGGCTCACTGCAAGCTCTGCCTCCTGGGTTTGCGCCATTCTCTTGCCTCAGCCTCCCGAGTAGCTGGGACTACAGGCGCCTGCCACCACGCCAGGCTAATTTTTGTATTTTTAGTAGAGACAGGGTTTCATCACGTTAGCCAGGGTGGTCTCGATCTCCTGACCTTGTGATCTGCCGGCCTCGGCCTCCCAAAGTGCTGGGATTACAGGCGTGAGCCACCGTGCCCGGCCAACGGTATTGTCTTTTTAGAGTTTCATATGTATAAAATATGTTTAAAAAAAAACGTAAAAATTTGATAGAAAATTACAGTACTTTTATAGCATGTTTTTTCCCACTTAAATGAAGAGATGTTCATGATGTATTATTAAATAATGTTATTTTTGAGGACAGATGCGGTGGCTTACACCTGTAATCCCAGCACTTTGGGAGACCGAGTCGGGCAAATCACCTGAAGTCAGGGGTTCGAGACCAGCCTGACCAACATGGTGAAACCCCGTCTCTACTAAAAAAAAATAACAAAAATTAGCCAGGCGTGGTGGTGCACACCTGTAATCCCAGCTATTTGAGAGAGGCTTAGGCAGGACAATCCCTTGAACCCAGGAGGTGGAGGTTGCCATGAGCTGAGATCATGCCACTGCACTCCAGCCTGGGCAACAGAGGAAGATTCCGTCTCAAAAAAAAAAAAAAAGTTATTTTTAATGGTATGTAACAATAGTATTCTAATGTATGGATTCCATAATAGGTTTAATTAACCCTCTTAGTAAGTATTGTTTTTATTTTTTTCTATTTCAAAGGACACTGCGGCAAACATCCTGATACATGTGTCTCTAAATATTTAGCCAAATACTTCCCTCTGCTAAATCCCTGTTCTGTCAAAGTTTACATACATTTAAAATTTGATACTTTTGATACATTTAAGTTTTTATATGTTCTTTTGTGTCATTAGGAATAACTGTCTGAGACCAACTGGAAAGCCAACCCCTAGTAGCTTCAAAAGTGAAGGGTTCAGTTTTTCTGTGTGTTACACGTTCACAAGTAGAGCATTCTAAATTTGGTTCAGCTGCTCAAGGATGTCAAAGATCTGAGTTTCTTCAGTTTTCTGCTTTCTTCCTCTGTGGGCCTGTTTGCCACATCATTATTTTTTGTAGATTTAGTTCTGATTTCTTTTTGGGACTATTTATTCCTTTAAATCTTCTACTGTTTTCTTAGTTACATTTGTTGGGTTCTCTACTTCAGGCACATGGATCATCCTTATATTGGATAGTCTGTTTCTCATAGCTGTTTCCTCTCTAATTCCTTTACTTTTCTTTAAAATTCACTGAGATTATCTCAGGTCTTTTTGATGTGTTTAACAAAACGGATTGCATTAATGGATTTCTGGATGTTTGTTTTTGCGCACTTCAGATGAACTCAACTTGGTTGTGATGGATTGTTATTGTAGTATGTAGCTAGATCTGATTTGCTAAGGTTCGAGAATTTTTGCGATTATATTCATAAGTGAGATTGGCTTGTAGTTTTCCATTTTGGTACTGCATTGGGTTTTGGTATCTTTTTTTTGTTTGTTTAAGGCAGAGTTTCATTCTTGTTGCCCAGGCTGGAGTGCAATGGTGCTATCTCAGCTCACCACAACCTCCGCCTCCAAAGTTCAAGTGATTCTCCTGCCTCAGCCTCCCAAGTAGCTGGGATTACAAGCATGTGCCACCACACCCGGCTAATTTTGTATTTTTAGTAGACTGGGTTTCTACATGTTGATGAGGCCGGTCTCAAACTCCCAACCTCAGGTAATCCACCCGCCTTGGCCTCCCAAAGTGCTGGGATTACAGGTGTGAGCCACCGTGCCCAGCCTGGTTTTGGTATCTTGATTATACTAGCTTGGTAAAACGGGAAACATTTCATTTTTTTCTATGTTGAGGACAGTTTAAGTAGTATAGAAAATATTCTCTGAACATTTGATAGAATTTATGTTCTCTTTCAAGATTCATCTTAACTTGTATAGCTATTGCATAATTTATTTTGTCAATTTTATTTTCTTTTTGTTTTTGGTTGGGGTGGGCAAGGTCTCACTCTGTAGCTCCAGCTGGAGTGCAGTGGTACAGTCATGGCTCACGGTAGCCTTGACCCCGTGGGGTCAGTTGATCCTCAACCTTCTGAGCAGCTGGGACTACAGGTGTGCACCACCACATCTGGCTAATTTTTTATTTTTTGTAGAGAAGAGGTTTCACCATGTTGCTCAGACTGGTCTCGAACTCTTGGCTCAAATGATCTGCCTGCCTCAGCTTCCATGAGTGCTGGGATTACAGGCGTGAGCCACTGTGCCCAGCTTTTTGTTAGTTTTCTATTGTTAGATATTGACTTTTTCCGAATGTTTTGGAATTTTAACTGATACTGCAGTCAATATTCTTGCAATTATGTCTTTATACATATCTATGATTATTTCCTTAGGATAAATTCTTGGTGGTGAAATTGTATAATGACCTTTAGTTGAGAACCACTGGTTTATGACAAAATGCTTTAGGATACCCCCTTTACCATTCTGATATAAAATTGTACACAAGACTTTTTTAAAAACCCCAAAACCTAACAGCATAATGCCTTTATTGTAAAGGAAAATAATTTGTAATTAATACAGATTGCTTACAGATTTCAACGTATAAATGAACAGTGTGACTGCATAAAAGAAGAACATCCCTAGGAGGTGGTATTACACCGTTTACAACTTCTGCTCATGTGACTCATGAATCTCCTCTATTAAACACCTGTAATCATGGGGAAATCCAGCTAGGCCTTGGAACCAGGCAGGTCAGTGTTTGAATCCAGCTCTGCTACTTACTAGCTGTATATCAATAGGTTAGCTTAATCTTAGAATGTTTCTGCATCTGTAACTGGGGTGATAATGCCTATTTTATGGTTTGGTTTGAAAATTTAATGAGCCAGTGTATAAAATAACTTGCCTGATACTCCATGAAGAGCTATTTGTGAATTATTTAATCCTTACTACAAAGCTAGAAGATAGTCCTATTATTAGTCCCCCTTGTTACAGATGGAGAGAAGGAACCAGCTTAGTGGGAGGGCTGGGATTCAAACCCTAGTTTAATTCCAGAGCCTGTGCTCTCAGCTGTTATGCTCTATGGCTTCTCATATAATAGTTGATAAATAGGCAATGGATACTTGATTGTTAGCTCAATTACACATTTCATTTTCTGTAGCTTTAATCAAGAGTTTCCTCCCAAGTGTTAACATCAGCGTTCTTTCCTTAAGACTTCTCTTTCCTCTTGGTTCTTGTGTTCCCTTCCTGAGACATACAGTTAATCTCCTTCATCCACATGTAGGCAGATAGCTATTTATTAAAAATTCTGTTCCCTCTCTGTGTATGACCTTGCTATTTCGGAAAAGCCCATAAATAATGCAGCCAACTTTCCTTGTAAATAAAATATAACCCTGTGTTTTTATTATTTATTTAGAAGAACTTTTCTTCTGATAAGTAACCCCCACTGTAGAGTTTATAGCTAATGTGTAGCCTTTTTATAACCCAAGTGTAGGGAGATAAGGAATTACATCTACATTTTAAAATTTTCTATGTTACAATCAAGGGAAGAGTATATATAGGGAATTTGATTCGTTTTACGGTATAATTAAATATGGTTCTAAGAGGTGTTTTTTGTTGCATTAGGCTTTTTTCTTGTAAATGATAGAAATCTTAAGACTATTCTAAACCAATTACTGTTTATATTAGAGGAACTGGTAATAACCAGAGATTATGATATTCTTTATGAATAGTTCTCCACTCTGAATTGTGTGTGTATGTGCATAATGCCTCGTTATATCTTCATATGGAGCTTCTTAAACACTTAAAAATATTAGTATGTAGAGTCACCACCTTCCATGTGTCATGATTCTTAATGTATGGCCAGTCTCACGTATAACTCCCACCTCCTCCAGGATTTTTTTTTTTTTTTTTGAGACGGAGTCTCGCTCTGTCGCCCAGGCTGGAGTGCAGTAGCGAGATCTCAGCTCACTGTAACCTCCGCCTCCCGGGTTCATGCCTTTCTCCTGCCTCAGCCTTCTGAGTAGCTGGGACTACAGGCGTCCGCCACCACGCCCGGCTAATTTTTTGTATTTTTAGTAGAGATGGGGTTTCACCGTGTTAGCCAGGATGGTCTCGATCTCCTGACCTCGTGATCCGCCCGCCTCAGCCTCTCAAAGTGCTGGGATTACAGGCGTGAGCCACTGTGCCCGGCCTCCTCCAGGATTTTAAACTAGGAATCTGTGATTTTATTTGGAAATATTTCAGTGTATGTGTAAACGTACCACAATGCTATTATAACACCTAAAACCAGTTAACAGTAACACCAAATATCCATTCTGTGTTCACATATTCCCCAGTTGTCGTGCGCACTTGTGTGTGTGTGGAGGGGGTGTGGTGGGAGGAAGTTTCAGCCTACCACACTGATACCCAAACTGTCTCATTTTTGGCCAGTGTGTGGCCTCTTTACATTGACTCCTAAATCTTTTTATATAACCTTAACAGACAAGATGTTCCAGGCTTATCTTGTACACTTCCTGCCCTGGACCTGGAATTGGTCCTTTTTCCTAAGGATCCCTAGTTCCTTTTAGTGGGGAATGTCATTTAGAGAACACAGTCTGGGTACTAGGTGTGTAGCAGGTTTTTTTTTTTTTTTTAAGCAGTTTTACTTAAATCACTATTATCACTATTATCCTTAAACAGAGAACACTGGGCATCATTTAATCTTTTATTGAGGACTTAGTATTATGGAAGTTAGTTTTGGTACTGAGCGGTAAGCTAATGAGTCCCTAGGGCCACTGAAGTGTGTTTTCAGTTAGTTTTGTTTGCCCTTATATTACGTGGTTCTGAATTCATTTTTAGTCACGGTTTTATTTTTGCCTTGTGACCCAGTCCTCTCTGCTGTCATTGGGGTTTGTTTCTCATTTACAGGGCTATTCAAGCTGCTCTCTGCACTCATTTCTTTTTCTTTTTTTCTTTTCTTTTTCTTTTTCTTTTTTTTTTTTTTTTGGAGGCAGAGTCTCTCCTTGTCGCCAGGCTGGAGTGCAATGGCGTGATCTCGGCTCACTGCAACCTCTGCCTCCTGGGTTCAAGCGATTCTCCTGCCTCAGCCTCCTGAGTAGCTGGGACTACAGGCTCCTGCCACCATGCCCGGCTAATTTTTGTATTTTTAGTAGAGATGGGGTTTCACCATGTGTGCCAGGATGCTCTTGATCTCTTGACCTCATGATCTGCCCACCTCGGCCTCCCAAAGTGCTGTGATTACAGGCATCAGCCACCGTGCCTGGCCTACACTCATTTCTAAACTGCTTTTTCTCTCTGATTGGACTCCAGGCAAAACTGAGGGTTATATTAGGAGATATGACTGGGTCTTATAGAGTATAATATGCAGTTAGATGGGAAGGAAAATCTACCCAGCTAAGCATTCAAGTGCATGAGTTTTTCATTTCTGTTAAGCTTGAAGGCTGTTACATTACATTTTGTTGCCAGGCCTCCTTAGGCTTCTCTAGACTGTGAAAGTTTCTGTGACTTTGGTTTGATGATCTTGCCAGTTTTAAGAAGTACTGGTCAGGTATTTTGCAGAATGTCCCTAAATTGGGATCTGTGTGATGTTTTTCTCATGATTAGACTGACATAGCGTCTTGGGAGGAAGAGCACATGGGTAAAGTATCGTTTTCTTTGTGTCACATCAAGGTTACATACATGGCTTATCAGTGATGTGTAGCCTTGACCACCCCTACTGAGGTAGTATTGGTCAAGTTTCTCTCTCTTTCTTGGGGTGCAAGCGGGGGGACCTTTCTATACTGTACTCTTGAGAAGGAAGTCAGTATGTGCTCCCCCATCCCCGTATGATGTTATGAAATCAGCCAGGTTGATCGTAAGCAGATTTTTCAAGTGTTTCCTACCCTCTAACTCTTGTTAATTCCTTGTAGATGTTTGTTATTATTGTTTAATCATTGCTTAGCACCCTATGAGCAGTCTTTAAGAGTATGGTAGTGGGAGTGACAGTATGTTTTGCCCAAGCTTCTTGGTTGCAAACAAAACAATTTGTCCTGTCTGGTCTAAGCAGAAAAGGTATTTTTGAGAAGATATGAAGTTGCTTACAGAGTCATTGGGAGGGCAAGGGAGAGAGATTCTAGATGATTCTCAAACTTTAGCCTGCATCTAAAAGGGCTTGTTAAGCATGTTACCGGGCCCCATCTCCAGAATTTCTGATTCCGGGAAGCCTGGGATGGGGCCTGAGAACTTCTCACAAGTTTCCAGGTGATGGTGATGTTGTGGTCCCAGAGCTACACTTGGAGAATCACTCCTTTATGCTAAACTTTAAGGAATACCCAAAAGCTGCTCTAGAACTGACCTTACAGGAAACTTGCCTCTGGTGCTGCTGGCCTATAGAAATTCACTTTAATGCTGTTGTCTCTGCTGCTTGGACTGATACCATTTCTGATTCAGGAGCTAGACCTATACCACTGGGACACGACTAAAAGTCTTACAGCAATGAGAATGGAACCTCGTTTCTTTACACTGCTCTATTCTGAATTGAAGTTGCATTTGAGTGTGTTTGATTGGAGGAGGCTGGGTCACATGCCTGCATTCTGGTTTTAAGGGAGATTGGGGATTTGTATTTGACTTCTATTTTGGGAAGCTGAAACTCATAAAATGGAAATTTCTTTAAATGTAAGAAGACTATGCAAAGGATTGATAGACAGCCATGGATATGGCAGTTGTCAACTATAGCAGTACTACTGAAAGTAACCTGTCCACAAACTGTTTTTAATGGTCTTCTAGGGCACAAGGAACCTGAACCAGAATATAAATCCATGTACTGCTTTCTTCATTGAAAAATGTCAGTAGAACTAAGCAATGTGCTTAGTGTCTTAGTTTATTTTACGTTGTGGCACAAACTCCTTATCTCATTCTTAGACCAGTAACAGTCTGCATACCAAACTTAGAGTAATAAATCAATATCAACCTCCACCAAGATTTCAGGTGATATACCAAGGGTCTCTTAGGCCTAACCAATAACTTTGTTTAAAAAAAAAAAAAATCAACCACCTGCGCCATGGTTAAAACTGCACTAGCTTCAGGTTGTAAGAGGAGCCTTGGTTTAATAGCAGTTCAAGTGGGAAGGGTTTAAGGACAGTGTTGGATTACATTAATCTTATGGGATAACAATAACAGTATGGGGTTGTGGCAAAAAAGCTAGAGTAGATTTACCATACATTGTTAAGGGTATGGTCCTCTGAAGAAAGGAGATATTTCTATTAGACTCTATGCTGGTTTTGTGTTTAGATCAGACTGTCATATTTTATGTGGAACTTTGACTAAGTTTAGTTTGAAGGGTGAGCAACTTGGATAATGAAGCATTTAGAAATCATGATTAGGAGAAATCTGGAGAAGAAAACGGTGGGTGTGAAATTTCAGATACTAGAAAATCTGCTCTCATTCTGGAGAGCAGAACCAAAATCTCTAAGGGAGCAGATTTAGGGGAATGTTACTGAAAACATTTTTTTTTTTTTTGAGATGGAGTCTTGCTCTGTTGCCCAGGCTGGAGGGCAGTTGTGCGATCTCAGCTCACTGCAGCCTTGTCCTCCCCAGTTCAAGCAATTCTCAAGCCTCAGCCTCCCGAGTAGCTGGGACTACAGGCGTCCGCCACCATGCCCAACTAATTTTTGTTTTTTTGGTATAGATAGGGTTTTGCCATATTAGCCAGGCTGGTCTCGAACTCCTGACCTCAGGCGATCCATCCCCCTCGGCCTCCCAAGATGCTGGGATTACAGTCATGAGCCACCACACCCGGCCAGCTTACCTTAGTCTATAAAGTTACCTTATAAGCTTTTTAATTTTTTAGACTTTTTTTTTTTTTTTTTTTGGAGTGTAGTGGTGCCATCTTGGCTTACTGCAGCCTCAACCTCCCAGGCGCAAGCGACAGGCACACACAACCACACCTGGCTAATTTTTGTATTTTTAGTAGAGATGGGATCTCACTCTGTTGCCCAGGCTGGTCTCAAACTCCTGGCCTCAAGCAGTCCTCCCACCTTGGCCTCCCAAAGTAATGGGATTATAGATGTGAGCCACTGGGCCTGGCTAGGAAAATCTTAAGTGTAGTTTAAAAAATGATTTTATAGACTGTGAGTTTCTTAAGAGCAAAATTTAAAAAATGATTTTTTTTGTGTTGAAATATTTTAAGACCATTAAATTATGAATACTTTTTTATGAGCAAATAGATTGAGGTAGAGCAATAAAATAATTCTTAAAACAAGAAAGATAAAGCATCTCATTGCCTTTTGATTTAAATCTCATCAGCATAATTCTTTTACTACTCTGAATGCCATTTTGGATATTCATTACAGTCTTTTTTTCTATATAATTTTTGTGTAGCTCATACTGTGCTATGTATAATGTATTTACTTAATATAACTTTTTCTGGCTTGGTATTACTTCACTGAATGAATATGTAGGATGGGTAGGATATACCTACCATACTTAATAGTTTTATTTTATTTTATTTTATTTTTTTTGAGATAGGATCTCATTCTGTCACCCAGGCTGGAATGCAGTGGTGCGATCTTGGCTCACTGCAACCTCTGCCTCCCAGGTTCGAGCAAGTCTTGTGCCTCAGTCCCCCAAGTAGCTGAGATGACAGGCACGCACTATCACGTCCGTCTAATTTTTGTATTTTTGGTAGAGACAGGGTTTCGCCACATTGACCAGGTTGGTCTTGAACTCCTGTCCTGAAGAGATCCACTTGCCTTGGCCACTGAAAGTGCTAGGATTACAGGCATGAGCCACTGTGCCTGTCCAATAGTTTTATTTTAAAATCCAGTGAGAAACAAGATAAGACATATGAGTTTTAGGAACTGTTCAGATTCTTTGATCCCACTGGAGTTATTTTTTGTTGTAAATTGATTGAAATAGGTGTTTTCTTGGATTTTGAACATCATTAAACAAAAAGGTTTTGGTCGTAGTAAATTTCACATTGCTTATGTCTTTATCAAATTTAGTGTAAAGATGCCAGGTGTGGTGGCTCACACCTATAATCCCAGCACTTTGGGAGGCCAAGGCGGGCAGATCACTTGAGGTCAGGAGTTTGAGACCAGCCTGGCCAACATGGTGAAACCCCATCTCTACTAAAAGTACAAAAATTAGCTGTGAGTGGTGGTGGGCACCTGTAATCTCAGCGACTTGGGAGGCTGAGGCAGGAGAATCACTTGAACCCCAGGAGGCAGAGGTTGCTGTGAGCCGAGATTGCACCATTGCACTCTAGCCTGGGCGACAAGAGCGAAATTCCATCTCAAAAAAAAAAAATAAATAAAAATTTATTATATTGTTTTACTTGTAAGAGGAACGTAGTAGTAGGACACAGCTTGAGTCTTAGAAATATTTTAAGTTATTGCGTGTTCTCTTGTTTATATCAAAATTATTATTAGGTCTTTACTCCATTTATTTATTGTATTCTTTTTTCGTTTTGTATTGCTGTTGCTATTTGAGACATTCTGAATTGAGTGACATAGTCATTTTTCCCTTTGGATGTCAAGCATTATAAGTAGCCATTGCATGGCTGGATGTGGTGGCTCACACCGGTAATCCTAGCACTTTGGACGGCTGAGGCGGGTGAGTCATCTGAGATCAGGAGTTCGAGACTAGCCTGGCTAATGTGGTAAAGCCCTGTCTCTACTAAAAATACAAAAAAATTAGCCGGGTATGGTGGTAGGCTCCTGTAATCCCAGCTACTTGGGAGGCTGAGGCAGGAGGATCGCTTGAACCCAGGAGATGGAGGTTGCAGTGAGCCAAGATTGCGCCACTGCACTCCAGCCTGGGCAACAAAGCAACAACTCTGTCTCAAGGAAAAAAAAAAAAAGTAGGCAATGGATTAGATAATTTCTCCCTTTTTCTTATTGCTCAAATGAAGGCAACAAATACGGGATGTGTGGAACTGTTGACAAAGGCTGGCATACTGATATTCTCAGCCTTCTAAATTTCAGAAGGTTTAATTTTGTTGAAGGCTGGCATTACAGTAATTAGTATTAGTTTGTTCATGATGCTATAAAGATACATGGTAATAGGGAAGGATATGAGCTGGAAGTCTCAGCATGGAACTGAGTCAGAATCTTGAGGTTGGAAGTGACTTCTGGTCTTTTCTGGCTACATACAAAGTCATTTGATCACTACTTTTTTTCTTTATTCATTAAATAAATACTACCAATTTAATAATGACAGCTAACACTTATCAAGTTTGTTCTATATGCCACACTAAGTACTTTTTACATGAACTATTAGCTAATGATAGTGACCTATTAGTTACCATGTTATAAAAAATAATACAGCATTTTGTGTGATGAGAGCTATTTTCTCCTTGATTTGTGGTTGGTTGCTAATGCATTAGGATATGCTTATTTGTAAACTTTCTCATATTGAGAGTGAATCGATTTGTCTCGATGTTGTAGTAAAGGCATTCTTGTAAAAAGCAGTTTTTTTTGTCTTTCTATATTGTAGAATTGCAGTATGTTAGAAGTACTTGAGGTGGATGATCACTTCTTAAAAATAAAATAAGACAATTACTCGATATACTCTCAAAAGATCATGATTTCTAGAACTGAACACTGTCCTGAAGCCTGGAGAGAGCCAGGCTTTGTGGGTATAGAGTGGGTCTAAACTGTGGGTCAGAGCCATGAAGGGGTTGGGAGTAATGGAAACATACTTAATCTTGGCTGCATCTTTAACAGCTGCATTTTTGTTTTGTTGATTCATTTGCCTCATTTCCTAATTATAAATATATTAATGTTGAGGGGTATGGGTGTTTCGGTTATGTGTGCATTTTGGTAGAAGGTAGGGATAGGAGGGGATACATCTTATTAGAGAAAAATAAGAACAGAGGGATTTTGGTTTTTCTCTTTCCTTGATTCCCCAGAGCCCTTTGTTACCTCTGTACTAATCAGTAGCTACCAGTAATACTAAAGTGTTAAGTGGAAAAGTTGTTTAACTTATTAAACAATGTGGATTTAACAATAAAAATACCAGCAGAATTAGCACAGAGAACAGATTTCTTTCATGATTTCAAAGGGTAATATGAGATAATTGCACATTTTCCTTCCAGTGGATTTCTCATCCCTCTTTTTCTCAAAGTTATCAAACCTTCAGTTGACCAGAAGTCAGTGCTTTGACTTAGAGACCCTACATGTTAGTTCCTCAAAAATTACCATTAGTGACATGGAACTCAAACCAGCAGTCATCCTCTTTCGGCAATGATTGCACTTACACTATTAAATCTATAGTGAGGCTAGTTTCAAGGTCTCATGGGAATGAACACATAGCGATGCTTCTCGACTTACCATGGGGCTATATCCCATTATAAATTGGAAATAACATAAAATGCATTTAATATACCTAAGTTACGGAACATCATAGCTTAGCCTAGCTACCTTAAATGTACCCAGAATGCTTATATTAGCCTGCAGCTGGGCAAAATCTTCTAACAGAAAGCCTATTGTTGACAAAGGCTGGCATACTTACATTCTCAGCCTTGTAAATTTCAGAAGGTTTAATATTGTTGAAGGCTGGCATTATGGTAATTAGTTTGTTCACGATGCTATAAAGATACATGGTAGGCCGGGCACGGTGGCTCATGCCTGTGATCGCAGCACTTTGGGAGGCCGAGGTGGGTGGATCACCTGAGGTCAGGAGGTCAAGACCAGCCTGGGCAACATGGTGAAACCCTGTCTCTACTAAAAATACAAATATTAGCTGGGCGTGGTGGCATGTGCCTGTACTCCCAGCTACTCGGGAGGCTGAGGCAGAAGAATTGCTTGAGTCCGGGAGGCGGAGGTTGCAATGAGCCAAGATTGCACCACTGCACTCCAGCCTGGGTGACAGAGTGAGACTCTGTCTGAAAAAAAAAAAAGATACATGATAATAGAGGAGGGTATAAGCTGGAAGTCTAAGCATGGAACTGAGTCAGAATCATGAGGTTGGAAGTGACTTCTGGTCTTTTCTGGCTATATACAAGGTCATTTGATTGCTACTTTTTTTTGTTACTCATTAAATAAATACCACCAATTTAATAATGACAGCTAACAGCTAACATTTATCAAGTTATAGTAAAATGTTGTATATCTCATGTAATTTATTGAATCCTCTAGTGAAAGTTGAAAGTAAAAAAGAGAATGGTTGTATGAGTACCATAATAAAGTGGAAAAATTGTAAGTGAAACCATCAGTTTGAACCATCTGTGTTGGTTTTAGTTCATTGTCAAAGGAATACATATCTGCATAGAAGAGAACTTTGAGAAGCTTATGGAAGGCCAGGTGCGGTGGCTTATGCCTGTAATCCCAGCACTTTGGGAGGCCGAGGTGGGTGGATCATTTGAGGTCAAGAGTTAGAGACCAGCCTGACCAACATGTGAAACCCCGTCTCTACTAAAAATACAAAAATTAGCCAGGCGTGGTGGCACATGCCTGTAGTCCCAGCTAACTGGGAGGCTGAGGCAGGAGAATTGCTTGAACCTGGGAGGCAGAATTTGCGGTGAGCCGAGATCGCCCCACTGCACTGTAGCCTGGGCAACAGAGGGAGACTCCGTCTCAAAAGCATATGGAAGAAATTAATGAGCCATAATTCTGTTACTCATAGATAAATCATTGGTACATTTTTTCCAGTCTTTTTTTCTATACATTTTAAAATCAGCTCTCAATTAAATTGAGTGATTGGGAGAGGGGATAGCCTTCAAAGATAATCTCAGATCTTGATTAAAATTCTAGGCAAATCATCATTATCTGGAGTGACTTGCAGTAGGAAACTTGGCCCTCTGCTGGCCTAAGTAGTTAGTGGTTGATTAGTACTAACCGATATCCCCTAAAGGGATTATGGTCATAGCTTTAAGGCTGGGATGCTGTTGGGGCAAAAGGGGAGATCAGGGGTTTGCACAGCTGGACCTCCTATCTTATGCTTCAATCAAAGGAACCCCTGGGTTTGGTCAGGGAAGGCAATCATTTAACCAGCTGTGTCCAAATTATAGAGTCCATAAAGTAAAAAGTCTGCTAATCTCCGCACACCATGATCAATGTTGAAAACATGGAAGAAAACCAGATTATCTCCCAGTAATTGAGAGTTTATATAGAATGTGCAGTTCTGTATCCTCTCTATGAATGGGTTTTTGATTATGATCTCAGTATAATGGTAATGGATCATTTTGAAGTTGGAAGAATAGTTCAGTCTGGTATGGCTACACTAGTTAGGGAACCTATTAGATTTTGCTTGTGACACTTGAGAGAAATGGGAAATAGCAAGATTGGCAGTAGGTTCATTTGTGGGATAAGTAGTTCAAATAATCCAATATTTAACAGTTCTAAAATTAAATTGCTATTCAGTTGCACAAAGGCACTTTAGAAGCTCTTTTTTTTGTGGGGAAGTTGGCCTTATGTGATTCTCTGTATATTTGTGGTTTCACTTTACATGACTCATTTACAGTTGTGTATTAAGTCTAATACAAGGATCTTTTTTTTTTTTTTTGAGACAGAGTCTCACTCTGTCACCCAGGCTAGAGTGCAGTGGTGCGATCTCGGCCCACTGCAACCTCCGCCTCCCGGGTTCAAGCGATTCTCCTGCCTCAGCCTCCTGAGTAGCTGGGATTACAGGCACCTGCCACTACACCTGGCTAATTTTTGTATTTTTAATAGAGATGGGATTTCTCCATGTCGGCCAGGCTGGTCTCGAACTCCTGACCTCGGGTGATCCGCCCGCCTCGGCCTCCCAAAGTGCTGGGATTACAGGCGTGAGCCACCATGCCTGGTCTGTCTTACTTTTTTTAAACATTAGAATATCCTAGCATATGGTGGATTTTTGGAAGAAGCTTGACTACTTGTTTCACGTATAGCAATGTACAGCTAGAATACTAATTTACTGTTTTATAAATTTATGAATAAAAGTTATTACTTGTTAACTAGTGTTTTTTTCCCCCAGTTTCTCTTCAGCAACGGGTAGCAGAATTGGAAAAAATTAATGCAGAATTTTTACGTGCACAACAGCAGCTTGAACAAGAATTTAATCAAAAGAGAGCAAAATTTAAGGAGTTATATTTGGCTAAAGAGGGTAAGTTCATAAGTCTCGCACCAACTTCAATGCGAAAACTGCCTTAAAGTGTTGAGTTTCTTGGTAGTAGTGTTAATTTTATCATTGAATAAACCTTGATTTTATTTGTACTTGCATAATAAAAGAATACTGTTTAAAGGCTAGGTTAAGAATGGGATTGAAAAACAAGTTGAAAAATGCCTTCTTCAGATTTTGCCTTGTTTTTTGATCTTACTGTTCATATTTAGGTTGCATAGCCTTGAGATAAGAGAATGTTATTGCTCTTAACATTTGGGATACAGTTGTGGGCAAACTAGGATTGTTGGCATTCTAATAACAGCTTTAGCTATGTTATCTTTAATTCCATGAAACATCAGTTTTACCCAACAAATATTCAGTTATTTATCAATAAATATTTATTTAATATCTACTATGAGGCAGACATTATACTTGTGTTGGGTATACAGAAAGAGGAAAATTCATGTGGTTCTTTAACTTGGTTGAACTCAATGAGCAAAACAGATGTTAAGTAATTGTGTGATGAGTCGTTAAAACAGGAAATTGCAGGCTGGGCGCGGTGGCTCACACCTGTAATCCCAGCACTTTGGGAGGCCAACGGGCGGGGGCGGATCACCTGAGGTCGGGAGTTCAAGTCCAGCCTGGCCAACATGGAGAAACCCTGTCTGTACTAAAAATACAAAATTAGCTGGGCATGGTGGCGCATGCCTGTAATCCCAGCTGCTCGGGAGGCTGAGGCAGAAGAATTGCTTGAACCCAGGAGGCAGACGTTGAGGTGAGCTGAGATTGCGCCATTGCACTCCAGCGTGGGCGACAAGAGTGAAACTCCCATCTCAAAAAAAAAAAAAAAAGAAAAAGAAACTGTATAAGGAAAATACATGAGAGAACATGTTGGGGGACCTGATTTGAAGGATCAGGGAAGGGGCTTACCTTCTGAGTATCGACCTAGAATAATGTGAATGTAGTTTCCACAGCTCTCTAGACCAGTGATTCTCAAAGTGTGATTGTGGAACAGCATCATTATCGTCATCATCACCTGGGAAAGTTGTTAGAAATGCAAATGTTTGGGTCCCACCCAGATTTACTGAGTTAGAAACTGTGGGATTTGGGTCCAGCTGCACACTAAATTTTGAAAACTGCTCTAGTCTATAATAGAATAGTGGCTCTCAAATTCAAATGTGGATAAAAATCACCTGGAGAGCTTGTTAAACCACAGTATGTTTGGGTGGAGCCCAGAAATTTGCATTTCTAATAAGCTCATAGATGATTCCAGTTACTGCTAGTTCAAGTACTACAGTTTGAAAAATCCTGTTCTGGACTAGTGATCATGCACCTTTTTTAACTTATGAACTCTGTAAAATATATACTTACATACAACCTTCATACATGTTAAAGTTGATGTTTAAAATTTTTTGCTTGAAAAGATGTGAAGGATAAAATTTTATATTGTTGATATTTACAATTTAAATGAAAGCTTCGTCCTTTTTTTTTTTTTTTTTTGAGATGGGAGTCTCCCCCGACATCTTCCCCTGTCACGCAGGCTGGAGTTCAGTGGCACTATCTCAGCTCACTACAACCTCCGCCTCCCATATTCAAGTGATTCTCCTGCCCTGCCCCAGCCTCCCGAGTAGCTGGGATTACAGGTGTGTGCCACCATGCCCGGCTAATTTTTGTATTTTTAGTAGAGACGGGGTTTCACCATGTTGGTCAGGCTGGTCTCAAACTCCTGACCTTGTGATCCGCCCGCTTCGGCCTCCCAAAGTGCTGGGTGAGCCACCACGCCTGGCCAACTTCCTGCTTTTAAACATATCCAGTGGAATGAAAATATCAGTGATTTATCCATTGTTATCTGTTTAACAAACACATGAATAGCTTTATAGCCGAAATTTTACAGTGGTTTTCCTCCTTGCGTTGGGTTTTCTTCTTTACATCTCCTTTAGAATTTTTTTCTTAAAAATGGTTTTGAAACTTGAGTGTGCATTTGTTTCATTCATTTTTTTTTTTTTTTGAGACCGAGTCTCGCTGTGTTGTCCAGGCTGAAGTGCAGTGGTGTGATCTTGGCTCACTGCAACCTCCGCCTCCTGGGTTCAAGCGACTCTTGTGCCTTAGCCTCCCTAGTAGCTGGGGCTACAGGTGTGTGCCACCACGCCCTGCTAATTTTTGTATTTCTAGTAGAGACGGGGTCTCACCATGTTGGCCAGGCTGGTCTCGAACTCCTGACCTCAGATGATCCGCCTGCCTCGGCCTCCCAGAGTGCTGGGATTACAGGCGTGAGCCACCACAATGGGCTTGCGTGTGCATTTGAATTACCTAATAGGGTTCGTTAAAACAAGGATTACTGGCTTCCCCCCTCAGAGACGCTGACTCACTAGGGCACTGGGATCCAGAGTTTGTGTTTTTAGCAAGTTACCAGTTGGCGGAGATGTTACTGTTCAGAGACCATACTTTAAAAACTACTGGCCTAAAGTAACATCTTGTGCTTGGAACTCTTAAAATATGCATATAAATGTTTTCTTTACGGAGATATTATTAAAATTTATTATAAATACACAGTTGATCACATTATGGATATTTTACATATTACTATGAAAATAAGGCCAGGCACGGTGGCTGACACCTGTAATCCCAGCATTTTGGGAGGCCGAGGCAGGCGGATCACAAGGTCATGAGTTCGAGACCAGCTGGGCCAACATGGTGAAACTCTGTCTCTACAAAAAAAATACAAAAATTAGAAGGCATGTTGGCATGGGTCTGTAATCCCAGCTACTCAGAAGGCTGAGGCAGGAGAATCGCTTGAACCTGGGAGGCGGAGGTTGCAGCAAGCTGAGATTGTGCCACTGCACTCCATCCAGCCTGGGTGACAGAGCGACTTCATCTCAAAAAAAAAAAAAAAAAAAAAAACAGACTAAAAAATAGGAAAATATAAAAATCATTGGAAATGCAGCTCTTTTGAGATATATTGGTTCTCATTAAATCGTTAATCTCTGGATGCATATTATTTACTGCTAGAAAAAGATAGCTTGTCAGCATCAATTCTATTGTAGTTTTATTTTTTTAAACATATAAATGCCAAGAACCCTTGGTCTCATGAGTGAGTAAATAGAAACAGAGTTTTATTACAGCAATTATTATTCAATTCTCTTAGCTGTTTCTAAATTATATGTTAAATTACATAGTTCTTTAGCATCAAAATGTTTTTATCCTATCAGCTAACAACTGAATTAGGTCTGTCTTCAATTTTGTTGAAAGAGGACTTGCGTCCACCTGACTTGCCAAAAGATTTGTTACACTGTTATTAGTCATTCACTTTTTAATTATTGACACTAATTTTAGTTATCCCTCTGTGAGGCAGAGTCTCACTTTTTCGCTCAGGCTGGAGTGCAGTGGCACAACAATCTTGGCTCACTGCAACCTCTGCCCCACGGTTCAAGTGATTCTCCTGCCTTAGCCTCCCGAGTAGCAGGGATTACAGGTGTGTGCCACCACACCTGGCTAATTTTTTTGTATTTTTAGTAGAGACAGGGTTTCACCCTGTTGGCCAGGCTGATCTTGAACTCCTAACCTCAAATGATCTGCCCGCCTCAGCCTCCCAAACTGCTGGGATTACAGGCATGAGCCACCGTGCCTGGCCTCATAGAGGAGTTTTTAATACAACAGGACAATGAACCATAGTAAAATACTATATGATGGAAGGTTCTTAGGCCTTGTAGAATTTAGCCCTGGCTTGGAAAGGATTACTGACTGTGGTATGGAATGGAGTTCCATTTTTTCATGGCTTTCAGGAGGGCTGTTTTTTATTTTCTTTTATAGGCTGGTAAGTAGGTGGGAAAGCTGATGTTCATGTCTAGTCATGGTGGCACTCTGCAAGACACTGTGGAGGTTGGGATGAATGAGATATATGGTTTCTATTCCCAAGAAAGAATAGTCTACTGTGGTAGATAATACATTTTGCACAGTATCATCATTTCAAGATGTATTGTGTGTCACAAGAAATAGTCCTGTCTGGACTAGGCACGGTCGCACATGCCTGTAATCCTAGCAGTTTGAGAGGCTGAGGCGGGTGGATCACCTGAGGTCAGGAGTTAGAGTCCGGCCTGGCCAACATGGTGAAACCCTGTCTGTATTAAAAATACAAAAATTAGCTGGGCCTGGTGATGGTGTGTGCCTGTAGTCCCAGCTACTTGGGGAGCTCAGTTAGGAGAATTGCTTGAACCCAGGAGGCAGAAGTTGCAGTGAGCCAAGATCGCGCCACTGCACTCCAGCCTGGTCGACAGAGCGAGACTCTGTCTCAAGAGAAATAAGTTCTATCTGGTTATTCAGTATCTTTACATGAATTTATCGTCTCCCTTTTAAAATTTGTTCATGTTTTTGAATTAATCAAGCACCACTGTCAACTCTGAAATGCTATATTCTTGTCAAGATGACCTGTAATACATTTGATGTATATATAAAAGGTTGTGGTAGTATTTTCTCTGGTGATAAGTTGAAACCCAGCAGTATGATGCTGGCTAATGATATCCATTTTCTCCTTTACCTCTTATACCAAAACCTCTGTAGCTTGTTCATCCTGTCTACAGCTAATTGAAGTCAGTCTTGTCTAAACCTTGTTTGTTTTGCTTTCTTTTTCTCTGTCCCCAATAAAACTGTTAGGGTTCCTTTGTTTTCTTATTTTCTTTGAAATTATAAAATAGAATTTTCCCAAAAACTCTGAAGAAATGAAAATGACTAAGAACCTCCCATTTCTGAAATGCATTATCAACTGCAGTTTTAGATCTGTGAATTAAAGAGCTTGTAACATGGGTTGGTTCAGAAAACATGCTTGGTTTGTTAAGATTGCATTGATGCATCTAAACCCGGTAAATGGGCTTTTTGTGTACTGTTGTATCTTTACTGTCCAGAGCGCTCAGTAAACTCAGTTGGCCACAGCGAACAGTTGGGGTAGCTTTTTACAAAATTTCAAAAAAAATACTGTGATCCTTTTTGAGTTTTTGGTGGCGTTCCTAAAGAAAATGCATAGTATATAAAAGGTCAATGCTGATTATTAGTTTTTGTCTTGGCCGTTAGCCTATATCATAATAAAAATCAAATGTGAAGATTTCCCCTGAGACAGCAGCTTTTATTGTATCTACTGTGAAGTCTAAATCTAGTCTTTAATGATTGCCACAGGTGTTTACAGTATAAACCAGGATTTTGATGTGGACAGCAGTCTTTGTTTTATCTTTCAGGAAAACCAGGTCAAGGTAACCCTGAAAGTCCAAACATTGGTTTTTCCCCAATAGGTCCAGCTTTTGCTTTAGTGTTGTCATAGCTGTGTTTGCACTTGTTTGGAGAATAGCTGAAATATAAGTGCAAATGGTAATGAGAAATGCACCTTTTTACTTCTCTTACTGCCTGTTCTTTTCTTAGTACCTATTCTTTTTTTTTTTTTTTTTTTTTTTTTTGAGATGGAGTTTTGCTCTGTTGCCCAGGCTGGAGTGCAGTGGCACGATCTTGGCTCACTGCAGCCTCCGCCTCCCAGGTTCAAGTGATTCTCCTGCCTTAGCCTCCTAAGTAGCTGGGACTACAGGCGGGTGCCACCACGCCCAGCTAGTTTTTGTATTTTTAGTAGAGTTGGGCTTTCACCACGTTTTCCAGGCTGGTCTTAGTACCCCTTCTTTTCCAAGCCGACTTCAACTGGGAATGTTATAAATATTTCTGAAAGTTTTTTTTTTTTTTTTGAGATGGAGTCTTGCTCTGTCACCCAGGCTGGAGTGCAGTGGCACGATCTCGGCTCACTGCAAGCTCCGCCTCCTGGCTTCACGCCATTCTCCTCCCTCAGCCTCCCGAGTAGCTGGGACTACAGGCGCCCGCCACCACGCCTGGCTAATTTTTTGTATTTTTAGTAGAGACGGGGTTTCACCGTGTTAGCCATGATGGTCTCGATCTCCTGACCTTGTGATCCGCCCACTTCAGCTTCCCAAAGTGCTGGGATTACAGGTGTGAGCCACCATGCCCGGCTATATTTCTGAAAGTTTTATTGCTTTTCTGTTGAAGTATTTTCTGATTCAGCTTTTCCTAAACTAACTTCAGAGCTTGGCATTACAGCAGTGTTTATGTTTTGTGCTTTGGAAATTTGTAGTGTTGGCAATGAGTAAGAGACGGTTACGTGAAACACAGAACAAAAGGCCATATAGTTTTCAATTTGACGAAAAATAGTAGGAATAGAGCTTATAGCTAATCACCAGAGGACACTGAAATTTTCTACTGGTGTTCAGAAGGTCTTTATACATGGTTGTAATTTATATAAAGCTGTTACGCTAACTAATCAGAATTTCAATAGTGAAAAGCTAGATTTAGGAAGCTATCTGTGGTTCCAGTGCCATAAACTTGCACTTAGATAGGGAAATGAAAACAGAGTATATAAAATTAACAAAACCCATTAGTAATACTGTAAACAAACGATTAGAAATTAAAATAGTGTTTGCTAATAGATTTAACCAGTAGAGACGATACAGAGGTTTTAGTAAATTAGAAACCAGTACTGAGTTCTTCCTCCTAGTGAGACAAAGAGGGAAATATGAAAGAATATAAAGACAAAGAGGATGAATTAAGAGCCTTCAACACACATCTGAAAAGAGTTCCAGGGCAAGAGAATGGAAGGAATAGTAAAGAATATTTGAAGAGATAATAACTTAGATTTTTACTAATAAAAAATGTGAGTCCTTAACATAAATACTGAGTACCAAACAGGAAAAATAATAGTAAATTCAGGCCGGGCATGGTGGCTCACGCCTGTAATCCCAACATTTTGGGAGGCTGAGGCGGGTGGATCACTTGAGGTCAGGAGTTTGAGACCAGCCTGGTCAACATGATGAAACCCCATCTCTACTAAAAATACAAAAAACTAGCCGAGCATGGTGGTGCACATCTGTAATCCCTGCTACTTGGGAGGCTGAGGCAGGAGAATTGCTTGAACCTAGGAGGCGGAGGTTGCAGTGAGCTGAAATTGCAGCACTGCACTCCAGCCTGGGCCACAGAGTGAGACTCCATCTCAAAAAACAAAACAAAACAAAAAGTAGTAAATTCATACCTTGACACATCTTTTGTAAGATAGAACATCAAGAATCAAAAGAAAATGTGAAAAGCTACCAGAGAAAAGAAACAATTACAATGACAGGAGATACTTCATAAACACCATAGATGCCAGAAGACAATGAAATAAGATCTCCAAAGTGCAGAGAAAAAATAATTGTCAACCTAAAATTTTATATGCTGCTAAATTATGTAAGAGTGAGGGCAAAATAGATATTTTAGGCATATAAAAACTAAGCACTTAGCCATCTACATAATCACTAAAAGTACTGCTAGTAGGCCGGCTGCAGTGGCTCATGCCTGTAATCCTATCACTTTGGGAGGCCGAGGCAGGCGGATTGCCTGAGTTCAGGAGTTTGAGAACAGCCTGGGAAACATGGTGAAACCGTGTGTCTACTAAAATACAAAAAATTAGCTGGGCATGGCAGTGTGGGCCGTAGTCCCAGCTACTCAGGAGGCTGAGGCAGGAGAATGGCTTGAACCCGGGAGGTGGAGGTTGCAGTGAGCCGAGATCTTGCCACTGCATTCCACCGTGGGCGACAGAGTGAGACTCTGTCTCAAAAAAAAAAAAAAAAAAAAAAAAAAGAACTGCTGGTAGAGTGATAGACATTCGCAAAAAGAAAACATAGAGGAAATATATAGGATGTAAGAAATAGGATAGGCTGGGCACGGTGACTCATGCCTATAATCCCAGCACTTTGGGAGGCCAAGGTGGGCGGATTGCATGAGGTCAGGAGTTCAAGATCAGCCTGGCCATCGTGGTGAAACCCCGTATCTACTAGAAATGCAAAAATTAGCTGGGCGTGGTGGCAGGCGCTTGTAATCCCACCTACTCGGGAGGCTGAGGTAGGAGAATTGCCTGAACCCAAGAGACAGAGTTTGCAGTGAACTGAGATCGCGCTACTGCACTCCAGCCTCGGTGACAGAGCAAGACTCTGTCTCAAAAAAAAAAAAAAAAAAAAAAAATATAAGAAACAATACAAAATACAGAAATTGATAAATTTAAAAATTTTTTTTTAATGTTTATCTTTTGAGATGAAGTCTTGCTCTGTCACCCAGGCTGGCGTGCTGTGGCACTATGTCGGCTGACTGCAACCTCTGCTTCCCAGGTTCAGTCGATTCTCCTGCCCTAGCCTCCTGAGTTGCTGGAATTACGGGCACCTGCTACCATGCCTGGCTAATTTTTGGAGGAGACACATCCCCACTTATTCTTTGAGGCTAGTGTTATCCTGACCTCAAAACCAAGGAAGACATCACAAGAAACTTAGCCCAGTATTACTTGGGAATATAGATGCAAAAATTCTCACAAAAGAACTAGCAAATCAAATTAAGCTACAGGTAAAAAGAATCACACAGCATGAAAAGTGGGATTCATCTCAGGAATGCAAGGTTGGTGCAACACCTGAAAATCAGTAGGATAAAAAACAGAGACACATGATCATCTTACTAGACACAGAAAAAGTATTTGACAAAACCTAACACTGTTACATGATAAAAACACTAAAATAGGAATAGAAGGGAACTTTGTCAACCTGAAAATGGGCTTCTACAAAAAACTTACAGCTAACATCACACTTAATGTTTAAAGACCAAATGCCTTTCCCCTAAAATCAGAAACAGGACAATTATGTACACTCTGACCACTTCTGTTCAACATCTAGAAGTGAGGATCTATGTAGGGCACTTACCCAAAGAAAGAAAGAAAAAGGAAAGGAAAGGAATCCATACTGGAAAGGATATATATATATATATATATATGTAGTTTTCTGTTTGCTGGCATATAACTTTTAAAAGCCTTAACAATTTTAAAGTGATAGGTGTCTTTGTTAATGAGCTGACTGATGGCTGGCAGCCCCTAGGTAATTTCAGGATAGGGGATGGTCACCAGAAAGACCAACACAGGATTAGAGGTTGGAACTTCCAACCCTACCTCCCAACCTCCAGGGAGAGGAGAGGAGCTAAAGGTTAAGTTGATCATTAGTGGCCATTTAATCATGTCCATGTAATAAAGCCTCTAATAACTAAAAAGGATAGGGTTTGGAGAGCTTCCAGATAACTGAAGATGTGAAGGTTCGTGGTGGGTGGTGCCCCAGAGAGGGCGTAGAAGCTCCATGCTCCTTCCCACGTGCCTTGTCCTGTGCACCTTTTTCTCTATATCCTTTGTAATAGTCTTTATAATAAACTGGTAAATGCAAATAAATGTTTCCCTGAGTTCTGTGAGCCCATTAACAAATTAATCAAACCTAAGGAGATGGTTGTAGGAACCTCGATTTATAGCTGGTCAGTGAGAAACACAGGTAAAATAATTTTGAAGCTTACAATTGATATCAGAAGTGGACTTCAGTCTTCTTAGACTGAATTTTCAGCTTGTATGATCTGAGTTATTTCCAGGTAGATAGTGTCAGAATTAAATTAGAGGACACCCAATGGGAGTATGCTATCAAAATTACTGATTGGTTACTGGTGGGCGAAAAGTAGTATGTGAATTATATCTCAATGAAGTTGTTACAAAAAAGTACAGTAAGCCAATGTAAGTAAAAAAAGATTACTAACGAGAAATTACTGGTATCAGAAATGAAAGAGGAGACTGTACTCTAGGTCCCATATATAGTAAAAGGATAATATAAGAAAATTATGGAACAACTTCATGATTAATAACCTTCCAAAAAAGAAAGCACTATGCCCAGTTGTGTTTACTGGTGAGTTCTATCTGCCATTTAAGGAAGAAACTATACCATGAGTTATACGAATCTCTCTGAGTCTCTATTCTCTATAATCTTTCAGAAGATAGAAACAGAGGGAATACTTCCTAACTCATTCTATGAGGTCTGCATAATCCTAATCTCAAAACCATACAAAGACATTTAATGAAAACTACAGACTTACATCTGTCATGCACATAGATGCAAGATTCCTTGACAGTATCTTAGCAAATCCAATCCAACAATGTATAAAAGTTATACACTGCAGCCACGTGGCATTTGTGTAGGTACGCAAGACTGGTTCAACATTCAAAAATCAATGTGTAACTTACCATATTTGAGGTGATGGATATGTTAATTGCACTGATTTGATCATTTCACAATGTATAGATGTATCAGAATACCACTTTGTACCCAATACATATATACAATTACTATTTTTCAATTAAAAAGTTTAGGCCGGGCGTGGTGGCTCATGCCTGTAATCCCAGCACTTTGGGAGGCCGAGGTGGGTGGATCACGAGGTCGGGGGTTCCAGACCATCCTGGCCAACATGGTGAAACCCCGTCTCTGCTAAAATACAAAAAATTAACCGGGTGTGGTGGTGCACACCTGTAATCCCAGCTACTAGGGAGGCTGAGGCAGGGGAATTGCTCGAGCCCAGAGGCAGAGATTGCAGTGAGCTGAGATCATGCCACTGCACTCCAGCCTGGTGACAGAATGAGACTCTGTCTCAAAAAAAAAAAAAACAAAAAAACAAAAAAAAAAAACATATATATTTTTTTCCTTTTTGAGGTGGAGTCTCACTTCATCACCCAGGCTGGAGTGCAGTGCCGCAATCTCGGCTCACTGCAACCTCTGCCTCCCAGGTTCAAGTGATTTTCCTGCCTCAGTCTCCCAAGTAGCTAGGATTACAGGCGCCCGCCACCACACCTGGCTGATTTTTGTATTTTTAGTAGAGATGGGGTTTCACCATGTTGGCTATGCTGGTCTCGAACTCCTGACCTCAATCTGCCTGCCTTGGCCTCCCAAAGTGTTGGGATTACAGGCGTGAGCTACCACACCCAGCCTACCAGAGAAATTTAACAAGGATATTGAAATAATTAAAAAATTAAACAGAAGTCTTAGAACTGATAAATAGATTTTCTCAACTGGAAAATTCATCAGAGGCTCTCAGTAGCAAAATGGATCAAGCAGAGGAAAGAAGCAGTGACCTTGAAGACAGGCTGTTTGAAAATACAAAGAGGACAAAAAAGAATAAAAAGCAGTGAAGATGACCTACAGGATGTAGAAAATTATTTCAAAAGACCAAATCTAAGAATTGTTGGTCTTCAAGAGGGAGTTGAGCAAGAGCAAGGGTAGAAAGCTTATTCAAAGAAATAGCAGAAAACTCTCCAAAACTTGAGAAGGATATAAATATCCACATGCAGGAAGGCCAGAGGACACCAAAGAGATTTGTCCCAAATAAAACCACCCCAAGGTATATAATAACCAACTCTCAGTGGTCAAGGACAAAGAGAGGATCCTAAAAGTAGCAAGAGAAAAGTAGCAAATAACCCTAATGGAGCTTCAGTCAGTTTGTCAACAGACTTCTTAGTACAAACCATAAAGGTAAGGAAGGAGTGGAATGACACCTTCAATGTGCTGAAAGAAAAAAAAAATTTAACATCTAAGAATTGTATATCCAACAAAGTTATCCTTCAAATATGAAGGAGAGATACATTCTTTCCCAGACAGAAGTTTGAGAGAATTGACCACTACCAGACCCATCCCACAAGAAATGCTAAAGGGAGTTCTTCCATTTGAAATTTAAAAAATGCTAACACACCAAAAAAAAAAAAAAAAAAAAAAAGAAAAAGAAACACACTGGTAAAATTAAGTACATGGACAGAGTTAGACTCTTAATACTGCAGTTGATAACTCTAGTATAAAGCCCAAAAGACAAATCTACCAAGAATAGTAATAGCTATGGCAGCCTATTCAGAGATAGGTAATGTAGATACATGTAAGTTGAGACAACTAAATTCAAAATGTGGGGAAAGTGGAGCTAAGTTGTAGAAGTTTTTTTCCCACTTATTTCTTTGTTTCTATTTTTTAAGATAAGTTGTCTTTAAAGTAACTTGTTATCTACAAGATGTTTTTTGTAAGCCTTGTGATAAACACAAAACAAAAACCTATAATAGATTGACTAAAAATAAAAAGCAATGAATTAAGACATACTACCAGAAAAAATCACTTAGCCCCAAAGACAGAAAGAAGAGAGGAGTTACAAAACAACCAGAAAACAAGCAATAAAATGGCAGTAGTAAGTCCTTTCTTATAGATAATAACAACACTGAATGTATATGGACTCAGTTCTCCAATTTAAAGCCTGAGTGGCTGAATGGTTAAAGAAACAAGCCCCAACTATATACTGCCTACAAGAAACCCACTTTGGCTGGGTGCAGTGGCTCATGCCTGTAATCCCAATATTTTGGGAGGTTGAGGTGGGAGGATCACTTGAGCCCAGGAGTTTGAGGCCAGCCTGGGCAGCAAAGTGAGACCCTGGCTCTACAAAAAATAAAACTGGCTGAGTGCAGTGGCTCACACCTGTAATCCCAGCACTTTGGGAGGCCAGGGTGGGAGGATTGCTTGAGCCCAGGAGATGGAGACCAGCCTGGGCAACAAACTGAGACCCCATCTCTACTAAAAAATACAAAAATTAGCCAGATGTGGTGGCATGTGCCTGTAGTCCCAGCTACTTGGAAGCCTGAGGTGAGAGGATCGTTTAAGCCCAGGAAGTCAAGGCTGCAGCGAGCTGTGATTGTGCCACAGCACTCCAGCCTGGGTGACAGAGCAAGACCCTATCTCAAACGAACAAAGCAAAAATTAGCTGGGCATGCTGGCATGTGCCTGTGGTCCCAGATACACAGTAGGCTGAGGCAGGAGAGTTGTTTGAGCCTGAGAGGTTGAGGCTGCAGTGAGCCGTATTTGTGCCTCTGCACTCCAGCCTGGGTAGCAGAGCATGACCATGTCTCAAAAAAATAACCCAAGAAAGAAACCCACTTTACCTGTAAAGATACACATAAAATGAAAGTGAAGAGCTAGTAAAGGATATTTCATGCAACTGGAAACCAAAAAAGAGCAGGAGTAAGTAAGTACACCTACGTCAGATTAAAATAGACTACAAATCTAAGACTTAAGAACAGCTAGGTGCAGTGGCTTATACCTGTAATCTCATTGCTTTGGGAGGCCTAGTTGAGATCACTTGAAGCCAGGAGTTTGTGATTAGCCTGGGCAACCCTGTCTCTAAAACAAAATTTAAAATTTAAAAATTAGCCAGGAAGCTGGGTGCGGTGGCTCACGCCTCTAATCCCAGCACTTTGGGAGGCCAGGGCGGGTGGATCACCTGAGGTCAGGCATTCAAGACCAGCCTGGCCAACATGGTGAAACCCCATCTCTACTAGAAATACAAAAAACTAGCCTGGCATGGAGGTGGGTGCCTGTAATCGCAGCTACTTGGGAGGCTGAGGCAGGAGAACCGCTTGAACCCAGAGGGCGGAGGTTGCAGTGAGCTGAGATTGCGCCATTGCACTCCAGCCTGGGCAACAGAAGTGAAACTCCATCTCAAAAAAAATTAGCCAGGCATGGTGGTACATGCTTGTAGTCCCAGCTACTTGGGAGGCTGAGGTGGGAGAATTCCTTGAGCCCAGGAGTTTGAGGTTGCAGTGAGCTATGATTGTGCCACTCTGCATGCCAAGTCTGGGTGACAGTGAAACTGTCTCAAAAGAAAAAAAAGAAAAGACCGTAAAAAGAGGAAAAAAGGGTCATATAATAATAAAGGGGTCAATTCAGCAAGAGGACAATTATAAATATCTATGCACCTAACACTGGTACTTCCAAGTACATATAAAACAATTAGCCAATCTGATGGGTGAGAGAGACTGCAATACAATAATAGAGGACTTTGTCACTCCACTCTTAGTAATGGACAGATTATCCAGGCAGCAAATCAACAAAGAGACATCAGAATTAAACTACACAGTAGATACGGAAATCCTTGAAAAAAATACTAGCAAGCTGAATTCAACAACATATTAAAAAGATCAGCCACCACGATCAAGTAGATTACTCCTGAGGAGGCAAGGATGGTTCGATATACACAAATAAAGAAATGTGATACATCACATTAACATAACCAAGAACAAAAGCCATATGGTTGGCCAGGTGCAGTGGCTCATGCCTGTAATCCCAACACTTTGGGAGGCCGAGGCGGGTGGATCACTTGAGGCCAGGAGTTTGAGACCAGCCTGGCCAACATGGTGAAACTCCGTCTTTACAAAAAATTCAAAAAATTAGCCGGGCATGGTGGTGCACACCTGCAATCCCAGCTACTCTGGAGGCTGAGGCATGAGAATTGCTTGAACCTGGGAGATGGTGTTGCAGTGAGTTGAGATTATGCCACTGCACTCCAGCCTGGGTGATGGAGTGAGAGACTGTCTCAAAAAAAACAAACAACAACAACAACAAAAACTGTATGGTTATATCAATAGATGCTGCACAAGCATTCAGTAAAATTCAGCACCTCTTTATGATACAAACCCTCATCAAATTGTGTGTCGAAGGAACATACCTCAAAATAATGAAGGCCATCCATACATGACAAACCCACAACTAGCATCATACTGGATGGGGAAGAGTTGAAGGCCTTTCCTCTGAGATCTGGAACAAGGACGCCCACTTCAGCCAGTTTTATTTAATATAGTATTGGAAATTGCAGCCAGAACACTTAGGCAAGAGAAATAAAGGGCATCCAAATTGGAAAGCATGAAGTTAAGTTTGTCTTGTTCACAGATGACACAGTCTTATATTTAGAAAAACTTAAAGACACCACCAAAAAACTGTTGACTGATAACTTTAGTAAAATCACAGGACACAAAATCAGTACACAAAAATCATTAGCATTAATATATACCAACAGTGAACAGCCTGAAAAAGAAATCAAAGCAATCTCATTTACAATGGCTACAAAACACACACATACACACACAACACAGACCATCTTTCCATTTGTATGTGTGTCCTCTTCAATTTCTTTCATTGGTGATATATATATATATCTCTCTCTAGGAATATATATATATATCTAGGAATATATATATATCTAGGAATATATATATATCTAGGAATATATATATATATCTAGGAATATATATATATATCTAGGAATATATATATATATCTAGGAATATATATATATATCTAGGAATATATATATATATCTAGGAATATATATATATATCTAGGAATCAATTTAACCAAAGAAGCGAAAGATCTGTAAAACACCAATGAAAGAAATTGAAGAGGACACACATACAAATGGAAAGATGGTCCGTGGTCATGGATTTAGGAGAATTAATATTGTTGAAATGACAATACTATCCAAAGCAATTTACAGATTCAATACAAATCCTATCAAAATACCAATGACATTTTTCACAGAAACAGAAAAATCTTAAAATTTATATGGAACTGTGAAATACCCTGTATAGCCAAAGCTATACTTAGCAAAGGTAACAAAGCTGGAGGAATCACACTATATAACATTAAAATTTACTACAAAGCTATAGTAACCCAATCAGCATGGCACTGGCATAAAAACTGACACGTAGACTAATGGAACAGAATAGAGTACCCAGAAACAAATCCATGCATTTTGCAGTCAACTCATCTGCAACAAAGGCACCAAGAATATTCAATGAGAAAAGGAAAGTCTCTTCAATAAATGGTGGTAGGATGACTGGGTAACCATTTGCAGAAGAATGAAATTAGGCCCCATCTCTCTCCATATATACACAACAATCAAAGTAGATTAAAGACTTAAATCTAAGACCTGAAACTATGAAGCCACTAGAGGAAAACACTTGGGAAACAGACATTGGTCTGAGCAAAGATTTGTGTGTGTGTAAGACCTCAAAAGCATAGGCAAAAATAGACAAATGGGATTGCATCAGGCTAAGAAGCCTCTGCACAATAAGGGAAACAAAGTGAAGAGACAAGCTACAGAATGGGAGAAAATATTTGCAAACTACCCATCTCATAAGGGATTAATAACTACAATGTATGAAGAAGATTTGTTAAAGAAGCAAATCTTATTTAAACACAAAAGATTCAAATAGGCATTTTTCAAAAGACGTAAATGGCCAAGAGGTATGTGAAAAGATGCTCAACATCACTAATCATTAGAGAAATGCAAAGCAAAACTACAATGGGATATCCTGTCACCACAGTCAAAATTGCTTTTATCAAAAAGACAGGCATTCATCCACTGATGGTGGGAATGTAAGTTAGTACAGCCACTGTGGAGAATAGTATGGAGGTTCCTCAAAAGACTAAAATAAGAGTTGCCATATGATCCAGCAATTCCACTATTGGGTATATATCCAAAAGAAATGAAATCGCTGGGCATGGTGGCTCATGCCTATAATCCTAGCACTTTGGGAGGCCAAGGCAGGTGGATTGCCTGAGCTCAGGAGTTCGAGACCAGCCTGGGCAACATGGTGAAACCCCGTCTCTACTAAAAAAGCAAAAACAAACCAAAAAAAAACCCAAAAATTATCTAGGCGTAGTGGTGCCTGCGTGTAATCCCAGCTACTTGGGAAGCTGAGGCAGGAGAATCGCTTGAACCCGGGAGGTGGAGGTTGCAGTGAGCCAAGATCGTGCCACTCACTGCACTCCAACCTGGGCAACAAGAGCAAAACTCCGTCCAAAAAAAAAAGGAAAGAATGAAATCCTGTCATTTGCAGCAACATGGATGGAACTGGAAGTCATTATGTTAAATGAAATAAGCCAAGCACTGAAAGACAAGTATCACATGGTCTCACTTGTGGAGGCTAAAAAAGTGGATCTCATGAGAAGATAGACTAGATTGGTGGTACGAAGGTCAGGGAAAGCGGGGGTCTGGGGAGATGAAGAGAAGTTGATTAATGGGTATGAGTATGTGGTTTGATAGAAGAAATAAGACCTAGTGTTAAACAGATCAATAGGGTGACTCTTGTTTACAGTAATCTATTCTAGATTTCAAAATAGAAGAATTCGAATGGTTCTAGCATAAAGAAAAGACAACCCTTGGTGTCCATGGGATGAAAGAAAAAAAAAACCGACAAATATTTAGGGTGATAGATACCCGAACTACACCCAGTTTGATTTTTACAAGTTACATTAATGTATTATCACATGTACTTTAACTATGTACATGTGCATCAATAAAAATAAAATGCAACAGTAACAAAATGAACAGCCACATTACCAAATGGGCAGAAGACCCAAACACCTCACTAAAGAGTCTATACAGACGGCAAGTAAGTATATGAAAAGATTATTAGACTGTGAGAATGGCCTAAATCCAAAATACTGCCGATACCAAAAAATGCTGGTGAGGATGTGGAGCAACAGCAGCATTCATTGCTGGTGGGAATGCAAAATGACGTAGCCACTTTGGGATGTAAGTTTAGTGCTTTCTTACAAAACTAGGCATACTCTTGCCTTTTGATTCAGCAGTCATGCTCCTTGGTATGCAATTAAATGACTTGAGAAGCTTTGTCCCAAAACTTGCACAAATATATTTATAACAGCTTTATTCATAATTGTCACAACTTCGAAGCATGGAAGATGTCCTTCAATAGGTTAATGGATGAATACACTGGTATATTGAGACAGTGGAATATTATTCCATGCTAAAAAGGAATGAGCTATTAAGTCATGAACAGACATGGAGGAATGTTAATGCAAACTACTAAGTGAAAGAAGGCAATTTGAAAAGGCCATATACTGTATGATTCCAAGCATATGACATTCTAGAAGAAGCAAAACTGTGGAAACAAAAAAAAGATCAGTGGTTGCCAGGGGTAGGAGGAAGAGGGGGTGAATATGTAGAGTACAGAGAATTTTTAGAGCAGTGAAACTATTTTATATGATACTGTGGTGGTGGGAACATGTCGTTACACATTTGTTAAAACCCATAGAATGTAGCACATTTAAGAGTGAACCCTAGTGTAAACGAAGTGGGTGATGATAGTGTGCCAGTGTGGGTTCATCAGTTGTATCAAATGTGCCACTGTGGTACAGGGTGCCTGTAGTAGAGGAGTGTGGATGTACAGGGGTGTGGGGCATATGGGAAACCTCTGTATTTTCTGCTCAATTTTGCTGAGAACCTGAAACTGCTAAAACGTTTATTAAAAAAATAAGAAAATACAGTTATGCATTGCTTCGTGATGGCGATACATTCTCAGAAATGCATCGTTTGGTGATTTTGTCCTTGTGCGAACGCGGAATGTACTGACAAAAACCTAGATGTTATATAGCCTACTACACATGTAGGCTACATGGTATAGCCTATTGCTACTAAACTGAAAAGCTGTACAGCACGTTACTGTACTGAATGCTGTAAGCAGTTACAACACAGTGATATTTTTGTATTAAACATAGCTAAACAGGCTGGGCACGGTGGCTCACGCCTGTAATCCCAGCACTTTGGGAGGCCGAGGTGGGCGGATCACCTGAGGTCAGGAGTTCGAGATCAGCCTGGCCAACATGGCGACACTCCGTCTTTACCCAAAATACAAAAATTAGCAGGGTGTGGTGGCACATGCCTGTAATCCCAGCTACTTGGGAGACTGAGGCAGGAGAATCGCTTGAACTTGGGAGTTGGAGGTTGCAGTGAGCCGAGATCATGCCACTGCATTCCAGCCTGGGAGACAGAGTGAGATTCTGTCTCAAAAAAAAAAAAAAACCCCAAAAAACAAACAAAACCCAAAAAGCAACATAGCTAAACATAGACAAGATGTTTGGCAGTATGATGTTACCATGGCTAGATGTCACTAGGCAGTAAGAATTTTTCAGCCCCTATAATCTCATGTAACCACTGTTGTGTATGTTTTTTGTTGTTGACTAAAACGTGATTATTTTGCATGTGACTATGTGTCTGAGATTTGTCTCACAGTATATATGGAGTGCATATGGATGGATTGGGGATGATTTGCCATGAGTGTATGGTTACTGGAGCTGGCTGGTGCATACATGAATTTTATAATAATTTTTGGTATCTGGTAGGGCAAATTTCCCCACTTACTCAAAATGATCATTACCTTTTTGTTAAACTTTTTCTTATGTAAACATTTAAAAATAGACAAAAGTAGGCAAAACAGTATAAAGCTATGTTAGACAGTATATAAAGTATTGGCATGAAAATAGACAATTTTTATAGAACAGAGTTCCCCAAATGGGACCCTCACAAATGTGAAAATTTGAAATATGACAAAGATGACATTGTCAAAATGGGAAAAGACTGGGACAATGGGCATAGGACAATGAGAACGTCTATACAGATAAAGCAGGTTTCAGTTTCACACCTGATACCTGTGAACATAATATATGATATATTGAGACTGTGATATTCTAATTAATGAGTGAAGTAGTTATCAACAGTCAACAATGTTGAGGGCTAAGAAGTAACTGCAAAAGAACATTAAGGTTTCAAAACCTGCGACGTAAGTAAAGATGTAACATATACGCACTGTAATGATAAACCCAAATTCCTGACAGTTGTTACCTCAGAGGAAGGTAGTGTATTTGTGATGTTTTGTTTCCTGAAGTTAAAAAGAAATGGAAGGAGATGTAGCAAAATATTAAAAATGATGGATCTAGGTGATAGGTAATAGGTGCCCATTATAGGATTTTTTATATTGTTTCTATGCTTGAAGTAGTTTATAATGCTTTATAGCATTAGTATAGGCCAGGCGTAGTAGCTCATGCCTGTAATCCCAGCACTTTGGGAGGCTGAGGTGGGCAGATCACTTGAGCCTAGGAGTTGGAGACTAGCCTGGGCAGCATGACAAAACTCCCTCTCTACAAAAAAATACAAAAATTAGCTGGGTGTATTGGCATGTGCCTATAGTCCCAGCTACGTGGGAAGCTGAGGTGAGAGGATCACTTCAGCCTGGGAGGCAGAGATTGCAGTGAGCTGAGGTCGCACCACTGCACTCTAGCCTGGGCGATAGAGTGAGACGCTGTGTTAAAAAAAAAAAAAAAAAAAAAAAAAAGCCGGGCGCAGTGGCTCACGCCTGTAATCCCAGCACTTTGGGAGGCCGAGGCAGGTGGATCACGAGGTCAGGAGTTCAAGACCAGCCAGGCCAAGATGGTGAAACCCTGTCTCTACTAAAACTACAAAAATTCGCCAGGCGCAGTGGCAGGCGCCTGTAATCTCAGCTACTCGGGAGGCTGAGGCAGGAGAATCACTTGAACCTGGGCGGCAGAGGTTGCGCCACTGCACTCCAGCCTGGGCGACAGAGTGAGACTGTCTCAAAAAAAAAAAAATAAATTATTAGTATAACCAAATGAAGTACTTGAATCTTGTTTTGATCTTAATTTAAACAAATATTCAGAAAGACTTTTTTTTTTTTTTTTTTTTGTCAATTGGAGAAGTTTTACCAGAGATTTGGTATTAGTTATCAGGCAGTTGTTAATTTTGTTTTGTGTGACAGTGGTACTTTGTTTATATAAGAAACTGTCCATATTTTTAGAGATGCATCTGTACAGTACGTTAGATAATGTAGTATTTCTGGGGCTTGCTTTAAAATACTACAGGAAAGAAAAAGGATAGTTTAAATAAGCATGGCAGGCTGGGTGTGGTGGCTCACGCCTGTAATCCTAGCACTTTGGGAGGCTGAGGCGGGCGATCACCTGAGGTCAGGAGTTCAAGACAAGCCTGGCCAACAAGGCGAAACCCCGTCTCTACTAAAAAATACAAAAATTAGCTGGGCGTGGTGGCACGCGCCTGTAATCCCAGCTACTTGGGAGGCTGAAGCAGGACAATCTGTTGAACCCGGGAGGCAGAGGTTGCAGTGAGCCAAGATCGTGCCACTGCACTCTAGCCTGGGCAACAAGAGCGAGACTCCGTCTCAAAAAAATAAATAAGCATGGCAAATCTTAATACCTTTTGAGTCTTGGTGAAAGCTATATGAAGGATTGTTGTAGTATACCCTCAACTTTTGAATATGTTTGAAAATCTTAATAATTACATATACAGCAGTAAAAGCAATAAACGAATGTTAGAACTCCTACTGTTGGCAAACATAATGTTTGAAATGCTTTACTACAAAAAATTAAGATTTTCTAACTTTATTTTAAATTTCTGTCTCCTGTTTTTTTGTATTTATATATATAAATATAACATTCATATATATGTTCATATATATATATATATATATATATATAACTAAAGTTACTGTTGACCAAGTCTTCCTCCAGGCTCTCTATTTCACTTTTAAGTGCCAAAAATGGATATTTAGGCTTGGTATTTGTTTACAGTTTTTCTGTTCATAATGACAACATGGTAGTGAATAGCTCTGGGTAATCTCCAGCAAATCAAAAGTACCAGAGGTAATTAGCATGAGGACCTGTTAAGTGTATAAACTTGAGCCTTGATAAAATTGTAGTACCCAAAAATGAATAAAGTATCCCAGAAATAATGCTTTTTCTTTTTTCACATTTTATGAAACAGTTTAACACTCAGAATACAGAGTTGACACACATAAACTTTTCCTTTGTGGTTTCACGTGTTTACATCTTTCTGGGTCTGTCTATTTGCATGCCTACCACAACTTCCCAGGTGTCTGTCTTTAAGGGACTTCACACAATTACTTTTTTAATTAATGTTCTTAAAACTGTCTTTGGCTAGAGATTCAAAATATTTTAAGAGTGATGGAAACTGATGTTGAGAGAGTAAAGATTTCAAAACAACTTAGCATGACTAGGTGTTTCCCTCTGTGACTTTGACTACCAAATCATTAACTCCTGTGATAACAATGAACATTTCACAACGTTTAAAAGTTCTCTTATTTTACTATTGGATTTTTATAAGTAGTTAGAAATTTATGCAAGAAAGTATTGCCACTGTCTTCATGAGGAAACTGAGGCTTGAGAATCTTGTGATTTCCTTAAAGTCATACAGCTGGTTAGCGGTAGAATTAGACCTTAAATCAGTTTATTTTCATGGTCAGTTTGGCTCAGTTATTGTGCTTTGGAGAGGAAATTGATACTTTTACAAAGATGAAGAATTTTTTTTTTCATAAATACCTTACAACTTTAGATGCTAAAAGGCGTAAGTTAAGGCCGGGCGCGGTGGCTCACACCTGTAATCCCAACGCTTTGGGAGGCTGAGGCGGGAGGATCATTTCAGCCCAGGAGGCCAAGACCAGCCTGGGCAGCGTAGTGAAACTTTGTCTCTACAAGAAATTTCAAAAATTAGCCGGGCGTGATGGTGCATGCCTGCAGTCCTAGCTACTCAGGAGGCTGAGGTGGGGGGATCGCTTGAGCCCAGGAATTTGAGGTTATAGTGGTCTATGTTTGCGTCACTGCACTCCAGCCTGTGCGACAATTGAGACCCTATCTCTTAACTTTTTTTTTTTTTTTTTTTTTTTTTTTTAAAGAAACACAGCGGCTGACTGGGAAAAGTTTTGTAAGAGAAGACAGACTTAATATCCAGAATATATAAAATGCTCTTACAGATCAGAAGGAAAATCATTCATTAGAAGCAAATGTAAAGAATGTCACCAAAGAGGAAATGAGTCACTAGTACATATATGAGAAGATGCTCAAACTCCTTATTAACAGGGAAAATGTAGATTAAAGTGACCATTTGCTACCCATGATATTTACAAGAATTTTTAAAAGATGGAAAATAGTGACTGTTGTTAAGGGTATGGGAAAACAATCACACATCCCTGTATACTGTTGATAAGTTCATCTTTTTTTTGAAGTTAGTTTGGCCAAACATATGTTCTGCCTGGGCTTAAACCATGTAGTAGGCACATTACATCAACTTAGTATTTAAAAGATGGTAAGAGGGAGCCGAGAAATTAATGCTAACTTTAAAGAACATACGTCTAGTCACTGCCATGTGCTCTGGCTTTCTTTTCTCTTTTATTAAACATTTTTTGAATGTTTGTGGAAGGTAATGTACTAATTAGCGTTTCCAATAAATTATCATTACAACAACCTTGTGAGGTGGCTGTTTTTAACTTCCATTTTGCAGATGTGGAAACTTAGGCCAGAGAGATTAAATAACATGACCAAGTTCATTTAGTCAGCAGACGGGAATGCGTAAATTGAGCTCTAAAACCATGACTGTAACTACTGGATCATTAGATAGATAGTAACAATTGATTTGTGATACCCAGCTTACCTTAAATCTCACCTCTATTAAAAGGGTGTCATTTTGTATGTTTATATTTTAAAATTTAATACCTTATTTCTTTATTGGAATGCCAGTCTGATCAAAGTGAACATTAATGGACTATCTTTTACTTTTCTCTCCAGAGGATCTGAAGAGGCAAAATGCAGTATTACAAGCTGCACAAGATGATTTGGGACACCTTCGAACCCAGCTGTGGGAAGCTCAAGCAGAGATGGAGAATATTAAGGCGATTGCCACAGTCTCTGAGAACACCAAGCAAGAAGCTATAGATGAAGTGAAAAGACAGTGGAGAGAAGAAGTTGCTTCACTTCAGGCTGTTATGAAAGGTAAAGACAGAGAAAGATCAATTTTGTGATTTTCTAAGATATCCGATTCTGATGATTGAGAATATTTTCAGAGAATCTTAAAATATATACAGAGTTTCATTTGTGGTTTTATGTACTGTCATCATCAAGATATACTTTCAGATAAAAGAGAAGTCACTAATAACATAAATGGATATATCAATCGTATCTAACTTAATAATGGAGAGTTATAATAGGGATGTTATAGAGATAATGCATTAAATGAGGACTATAGTTCATTGTAAGGCTTAAAAGTCGATTTCTTCTAGGAGGCAGGCTAGTAATCTCAAATAATTAAGCTGTATGGGCACAGGGAATGTGCTGGAGTAGAGAGAGCTGCCATGCAAAGGGTAAAGTAACTGTTTACATTGATGAGCTTCAGCTAATTATTGCCCTTCCAGTGTAGTTTGGCCATACGTTTTAGAATTTTTTTTTTTTTTTTTTTTTGAGATGGAATCTCGCTCTGTTGTCCAGCTTGGAGTGCAGTGGCGCAGTCTCAGCTCACTGTACTCGCTGCAACCTCTGCCTCCCGGGCTCAAGCGATTCTCCTGCCTCAGCCTCCCGAGTAGCTGGGATTACAAGCATGTGCCACCACGCCCAGCTAATTTTGTATTTTTAGTAGAGACGGGATTTCGCCATGTTGGTCAGGCTGGTCTTGAACTCCTGAGACCTCAGGTGATCCACCTGCCTCGGCCTCCCAAAGTCCTGGGATTACATGTGTGAGCCACAGCGCCTGGCCTGGTTTAGATTTTTTAAGAAACTTTGTATGTGAAATCTTCACTGCACTCTGTTGGGTAGAATGGCCTATGGGCTAAGGTAGGCTTCATGGGCTGCCAGCTTATGACCTTTCGTCTAAAAGAAGAGACGTAGTTTAGTCTCAGACTCCTTTTGGCACTAGTGCTGAATTACTTCCCAAATTTCTGAGAAGATGATGATGAAACAAAGTAAGTGGTCACTGAATCTTTGAGTTCCTGGAATTAGTTAATATTCTATTTTATTTTTTACTTTTTGAGATGGAGTCTCACTCTGTTGCCCAGGCTGGAGTGCAGCGGCACCATCTCGGTTCAGTGCAACCTCCGCCTTCCAGGTTCAAGCGATTCTCCTGCCTCAGTCTCTCAAGTAGCTGGGACTACAGGCGCCCGCCACCACGCCCGGCTAATTTTTTGTATTTTTAGTAGAGACTGGGTTTCACCATGTTAGCCAGGATGGTCTCGATCTCCTGACCTCGTGATCTGCCCGCCTCGGCCTCCCAAAGTGCTGGGATTACAGGTGTGAGCCACCATGCTTGGCCCAGATTAGTTAATATTCTAAATGTGAAATAGTGATGACTTTTTCCACCGTGTTTGCAATTGTGTATCACTTTTTGCCTTAGTGCTCTTTATAAAAAGGCAGGTGAGGCTAGCCCTATTTCTGAGTGTATAGCTATGGCCTAGAGATTACTCTAGGCTTCATATAACAAACCCAACTACAGTGGCTTACCAAATTAGGAGTTCCTTTTTCTCCCAGAACACGAAATCCAAAGGTAGATAATCTAGGCCTGGTTTTGTATTGGTTCCATGATGTCAACAATGCCTCAAACTCCTTCAGCCCTTCTGTTCTTTCATCCTTAGCATATGGTTTTCAACTTAATCTTTGCCTCAGCTGAAAAATAGCTGCTTCTCCTTCAGTCTGCATCAGAAAAGCAAAAATTTTCTAGAAGTACCCAGCATATCCCTTTCGCTTTGTTGACCAAGTGTGTGGTCACTCATAACTACAAGGGAAACTGGACAATGTAGTTTTAAAATTGCGCACATTGATTTCCTAAACAAAATTGGAGTCTTACTGGTAAGGAAGAAGGAGTGGAAATTAATGGGCAATCAACAGGGTCTGTTACCTAGTGGTTTTTTTTTTTTTTTTTGAGATACTTAGGCTTGAGTGCAGTGGTGTGATCTTGGCTCACTGCAACCTCCGCCTCCTGGGTTCAGGCAATTTTCGTGCCTCTGCCTTCCAAGTAGCTGGGACCACAGACATGGCGACATCACACCCAAATAATCTTTTCTTTTTTTTCCCTTTCCCTTCCCCTTTCCTTCTCTTTTTTTTGAGACAGAGTCTCACTCTGTCACCCAGGCTGGAGTGCGGTGGCATGATCTCGGCTCACTGCAACCTCTGCCTCCCGGGTTCACGTGATTCTCCTGCCTCAGCCTTCCGAGTAGCTGGGACTACAGGTGCCTGTCACCACGCCCAGCTAATTTTTGTATTTTTAGTAGAGATGGGGTTTCACCTTGTTGGTCAGGCTGGTCTCGAACTCCTGACCTCAGGTGATCCACCCGCCTCGGCCTCCCAAAGTGCTGGGATTACAGGCATGAGCCACCACACCCGGCAATTTTTCTATCTTTGGTAGAGATGGGGTTTTGCCATGTCGGCCAGGCTTGTCTTGAAATCCTGGCTTCAAGTGATCTGCCCGTCTGCCTCCCACAGTGCTAGGGTTACAGGTGTGTGTGAGCCACTATGCCCGGCCACGTTTTAAGATTATATTAAAGAGAAAGCGATTTTTTTAAAGACCTTATAGAGTTTGCCTCAACTTACAATCTTGGGTTCTGGTAAACTATTCCAGAAATATATCCCTTTTCGTATACTTTCAGGTAGTGGGATTGGGGCGACATGTTATATTTGCCTTGGGAGCCATAGTATAGTGTCTAAGAACATAGATTTTGGAGTTGGCCTTAAGTTCGAATTCTAGCTTTGCTTCATTCTGGGCATGAAACATTGGCCAGACTATTTAATCTTTCCTAAGGTTTTCTCCTTCGTAAAATAATATATGACACAGGTTTATTGTGAAGATTAGAAGTGATGATTTAAAGCCCTTATTTCTGTATATAATAAGAACTACAACTAGTTTGTCTTGTTTTTTAGTGAATTAAACATTTTCCAGAAATTAGACGTAAGCTTTTTATATAACTTTAAAAAATTTAGTGTGCCAGGTTATTTTTTTTTCATAATGCTTAGATGTGAAATATGTGGTGATGTTTTGTAGAAACAGTTCGTGACTATGAGCACCAGTTCCACCTTAGGCTGGAGCAGGAGCGAACACAGTGGGCACAGTATAGAGAATCCGCAGAGAGGGAAATAGCTGATTTAAGAAGAAGGCTGTCTGAAGGTCAAGAGGAGGAAAATTTAGAAAATGAAATGAAAAAGGTATGAAGGAATGTGTTCATTTGTAGAAATATTTGAATTCAAATGCAAAATGCTTTAATATTGTTGTGTAATAGAAAGTAATAGAAGTACTTTGATATTTCCTGTGAGAATAATTATTTGGACACAGACCTAAACATAGTACTAAATAATGTTATATCTATGGCTAACTCTCTCACCTTCTTCACATTTTTGATCAAATATCACTACTTCATGGGGTTTTTCCCGACCACCCGCCATTTAACATTGCAACCTGCCAACTTCCCTCTGCCACCTGTCACTACTCTCCTCTCCCTTATCCTTCTCTAGTTTTTCTCTTTCCATAGCACATATTTCCTTATACTACACAGAGTTCACCTATTGTGTTTATTGTTTACTGTCTTTCTTTCCTTGCTAAAATATAAGCTCTGTGAAGGCAGGAGTTTCTCTTTCTCTCTTTTTTTTTAATAGCTTCAGGGGTACATGTGCTTGTTTTTTATTTGTATATCCTAAATGCCTAGCATAGTGTCTAGGAGATAGGTGCTTGAACTCCTAAATACCAGTTGAGTGGGTGTTGTTGCTTGATGATTGTGTCTAAAGCAAAGTTTTAGAATAGATGTTAGTTTTCCTTCTTTCTCGGTATCCTTTGGTTTCTGTGTACCACATATTATGTACCACATATGCTTGAACATAATACCATATAATACTTGAACATAGGGCAACTAAATGTAAATTGAGACATTTTATCATTGAGAAAATATTAAAAGCTTTTTAGCTAGTTTAAATAAACTTTTACATTATTTTATATGCATACACATTTAAAATCACATTGTATAAAATAATTAGTAATTGATTTTTCTTTTCAATTGAATTGATCATGCCTTTTTGGTTCCTAATTCTTAGTTCATTCTTCAAATGCATGTATATTCATGATTTCCACAGTCTTTCAATTTTAGAACTGTTTTTGATTATCTGAAAAATTGGGAAGATAGTACAGAGTTCCTATATACTCCATGCCTAGTTTCTCCTGTTGTTAATGTTTTACATTAGCATGGTACATTTGTCACAGCTAATAAGCCTCTATCAATTTATTCTTATTAACTGAAGTCCATTTTTGTATTCAGATTGCATTAGTTTTTACCTAATGTCCTTTTTTTTCTGTTCTAGGATCCCATCCAGGATACCATATTGCATTTAGTTGTGTCTCCTTAGATGCCTCTTGGCTGTGACAGTTTCTCAGATTTTTCTTGTTTTTAATGACCTTTCTGTCATTTTTTAAAGTGCTTTTTAAAGGTTTTGTTTATGATGACATTCAGCACTTGGAATTGTGAAGTCATATTTATATTAATAAATAACTTGATTTGTGATCAGTTCTTTGCTTCCTCCCTCCTTTTTTTTCCTGTTGTTTTTTATCAGATGACCTTTATAAGCATCCTAAACTAGCCTTGACTGAGATATTTTAACTTGTCTTTTCCAAATAGTATTTAATTCAAAATAAAATAAATGATGGCTTTGTGTAAGGACCTGAAAACAAAGTGAATCTGAACCTGTTTTTTGAGGGGTATGTTATTTGGGGAAAATCCCCCTCACGTTTGGGCATTTATGATATTTTTCCCTATCGTGCACAACTTAGTATAACTTTGCACTCATTTAAATTCAGTGAATTAGGTTTTCAGTTTCTCTAGAAGGAAAAAAGCCAACTTTTTGAGCCTGCCTTTGTTTCTCTGCGTGTAAGTGTATGTGTATATAAGAAATGAAAATTCATTTTCTCACCAGTTTACTAGTTTATGTAAGTTGGTTCCTTTTAATCCATGTTTTTGAGAATGGACTTGGGAAAGCAATGATAGTTTTAAGGGGTCACTCTTTGTGTTTGTTTCATTTAGATGGTAAAAGTAAAATAGTATTTAAAGTACTCTGTTTAATTGGATGGAAGCCTTTTTATAGCAACATAATTTTCTAACATTTTAGAAAACACGTTATTCTATTTTGGGTGTTTAAAATGTAATCAGCCCTTTCATTATTCATAAGAAATTATTGTCTCATGAACTTACTAACCCAGGAATTTTAAAAATTATTTATTATGGGCTGGGCGCGGTGGCTCACGCCTGTAATCCCAGCACTTTGGGAGGCCGAGGCGGGCGGATCATGAGGTCAGGAGATCGAGACCATCCTGGCTAACACGATGAAACCCTGTCTCTACTAAAAATAATAATAAAAAAAAAATTAGCTGGGTATGGTGGCAGGCGCCTGTAGTCCCAGTTACTCGGGAGGCTGAGGCAGGAGAATGGTGTGAACCTGGGAGGTGGAGCTTGCAGTGAGCGGAGATCGTGGCACTGCACTCCAGCCTGGGTGACAGAGCGAGACTCCGTCTCAAAAAAAAAAATTTATTTATTATGTGTATTTCCTTTTATATATGGGATATTTTCTTAATTGATTAAGAAGTCAAATTTGTTTTAGTGAATCAATTTTCCCATTTACTCCCGAATTCTAAATGGAATATTTGGGAAAACTCAGTTATACCTTGACATTCAAAGTAATGCACTATTTGAAAGTTAGACATTAGTTCAGTTTTGCGAATATTAATATAGTGTCTGGTCAAGTTACTTGTTATAATAATTTTTAGCAAATGGAAGGGTTAGAGTTTCTTAGAAAAGCAGTAAATGAATAAGTCGTAGCATTTAATTCTTTTTAACCATAGGCCCAAGAGGATGCTGAGAAACTTCGGTCCGTTGTGATGCCAATGGAAAAGGAAATTGCAGCTTTGAAGGATAAACTGACAGAGGCTGAAGACAAAATTAAAGAGCTGGAGGCCTCAAAGGTTATGAAACATTGTAATCCATTTGCTTGAAACCCAAGTTTCTGCCCCAATGCCATGAACAAAATTAGAATCAGTAATAGGGAAAAAAACCTGTAATTTAGACTATGCATCTTAAGAATCTTTCTTTAAAATGCAAAAAACTGCCGGGCGAGGTGGCTCACGCCTGTAATCCCAGCACTTTGGGAGGCTGAGGCGGGCGGATCACCTGAGGTTGGGAGTTGGAGACCAGTCTGACCAACATGGAGAAACCCCATCTCTACTAAAAATACAAATTAACCAGGCATGGTGGCGCATGCCTGTAATCCCGGCTGCTCCCAGCCTCGGGAGGCTGAGGCAGGAGAATCGCTTGAAGCCCGGTGGCGGAGGTTGCAGTGAGCTGAGATTGTGCCTTTGCACTCCGGCCTGGGCAACAGGAGCGAAATTCTGTCTCAATAATAAAAAATAAATTTAAATGCAAAAAACTGCTTTGAGATGGTTTTGCTCTTATGGACATTTAAAATAATCACAATAATGATGTTTTATCACAAGTGGCTGCTTTGTCACAAAGTTAATGTTCATTTTCTTAAGAAAATGAGACCCCGTCTCATTCATTTTCCTATTAAGGAAAATAAACTGTTCGAAGTTGACCTTGTTTTCTGATGCCAGCTCCAGCATTGATCTTTTAGAGATAATGTAGCTATAGTATTGCTGAATTTGTTGGCCATAAAGACACAGCAAAAGAATTAAAGTAGGAACAGGCCAGGTGTTGTGGCTCACACCTGTAATCCCAATACTTCAGGAAGCTGAGGCGGGAGAATTGCTTGTGCCCAGGAATTTGAGACCAGCCTGGGCAACATAGTGAGACCCCTGTCTCTACAAAAATTTTTTAAAAAGCCAGACACGGTGGTGCATGCCTGTTGTCCCACCTACTTGGGAGACTGAGATGGGAGGATTACTTCAGCCCGGGAGTTTGAGACTACAGTGAACTGGCACTCCAGACTGGGTGACAGAGTGAGACCCTGTCCCCCACACCCAAAGAAAAAAAGGAAGAAAGTAGGAACAAAAGAAGCATAAGAAAATAAAAACAATATGAAAATAAATGGGAATTTATCAATAGTCTTGGTAAATGTAAACTGATACCTATGTTTAAAAGAGATTATCACATTGGATTGTAAAAATCTAACTTTATGTTACTTGTAAGAGCTATGCCTAAAATCAAACCACAAGGTAAGACTGAAAATATTAGCCAGTTATAGTGGTGTGTGCCTGTGGTCCCGGCTACTTGAGAGGCTGAGATGGGAGAATTACTTCAACCCAAAAGGTTGAAGTTGCAGTGAACCATGATCATGCCACTGCACTCCAGTCTACGTGATAGAGTGAGACTCTGTCTTAAAAGAAGCCTGGGCGCGGTGGCTCATGCCTATAATCCCAGCACTTTGGGAGGCTGAGGTGGGTGGATCACCTGAGGTCAGGAGTTC